>NC_000022.11:11547337-11631288 GCF_000001405.40 Homo sapiens | reverse complement strand
GATCCGAGGACCTCACTAAACCATCCTATCAGTAGTAGAGACGGGCGGTGTGTACATAGGGCAGGGACTTCAGGCAAGCTTATGACCCGAACTTACTGGAAATTCCTCCTTCATGGGGAATAACTGCAATCCCCCATCCCCATCACGAATGGGGTTCAACAGGTTACCCGCCTCTGCCACGTAGGGTAGGCATATGCTGAGCCAGTCAGTGTAGCGCGCGTGCAGTCCCGGACATCTAAGGGCATCACAGATCTGTTATTGCTCAATTTCGGATGGCTGAAGGCCACTTGTCCCTCTAAGAAGTTGGGGGACGCCGACCGCTCGGGGGTCACGTAACTAGTTAGCATGCCAGAGTCTCATTGGTTATCGGAATTAACCAGACAAATCACTCCACCAACTAAGGCCATGCACCACCACCCATGGAACAGAGAAACAGCTATCAATCTGTCAATCCGGTCCATGTCCGGGCCGGGTGATTTTTCCCATGTTGAGTCAAATTAAGCCCAGGCTCCACTCCTGGTGGTGCCCTTCCACCAATTCCTTTAAGTTTCAGCTTTGCAACCATACTCCCCCCGGAACCTAAAAACCCAAAGACTGGTTTCTTGGAAGCTGCCCAGCGGGGTCATGGGAATAACGCCGCCACATCGCCAGTCGGCATCGTTTATGGTCGGAACTACGACGGTATCTGATCATCTTCGAACCTCCGGCTTTTGTTCTTGATTAATGAAAACATTCTTGGCAAATGCTTTCACTCTGGTCTGAACTGCGCCAGTCCAAGAATTTCACCTCTAGCGGCACAATACGAATGCCCCCGGCCGTCCCTCTTAATCCTGGCCTCAGTTCTGAAAACCAACAAAATAGAACCGCGGTCCTATTCCATTATTCCTAGCTGCGGTATCCAGGCGGCTCGGACCTGCTTTGAACACTCTAATTTTTTCAAAGTAAATGCTTTGGGCTGCGGGACACTCAGCTAAGAGCACCGAGGGGGCGCCAAGAGGCAAGGGGCGGGGACAGGCGGTGGCTCGCGTCCTGGCGGACCGCCCGCCCGCTCCCAAGATCCAACTAGGAGCTTTTTAACTGCAGCAACTTTAACATATGCTATGGGAGCTGGAATTACCGCGGCTGCTGGCACTAGACTTGCCCTCCAATGGATCTTCGTTAAAGGATTTAAAGTGGACTCATTCCAATTACAGGACCTCGAAAGAGTCCTGTATTGGTATGTTTCATCACTACCTCCTTGGGTCGGGAGTGGGTAATTTGCATGCCTGCTGCCTTCCTTGAATGTGGTAGCCATTTCTCAGGCTCCCTCTACAGAATTGAACCCTGATTCCCCATCACCCGTGGTCACCATGGTAGGCACAGCGACTACCATCAAAAGTTGATAGGGCAGACGTTCTAATGGGTCGTCGCTGCCACGGGGGGTGTGCGATTGGCCCGAGGCTATCTAGAGTCACCAAAGCTGGTGGCACCCGACCCCCTGGCCGGGGCCAGAGAGGGGCTGACCGGGTTGGTTTTGATCTGATAAATGCACGCATCTTCCCCACGAAGGGGGTCAGCGCCCTTCGGCATGCATTAGCTCTAGAATTACCACAGTTTTCAAAGTAGGAGAGGAGCGAGCGATCAAAAGAACCATAACTGATTTAATGAGCCATTCGCAGTTTCACTGTACTGGCCCTGTGTACTTAGACATGTATGGCATAATCTTTGAGACAAGCATATGGTACTGGTAGGATCAACCAAGTAGGTAGAAAGCGGCCTCCAGGCCTCGCGAGGATGAGCCCGGCATCCCAGTCGCGAGGATGGGTGCGGCAGGGCGGTCGACCTGGCGTGTGGGAGGGAGGGAGCAGCGCGGGGCGGTGGGAGCCGGGTGATGGGGCGGCGAACCGGACATCCCATACACCCACACTACACAACACCCCCCGATGGGCTCACCACTCCCGACCCTTCGTGCCCACGTGTAACCAGGCAGAACGCCCGACCCGTGCATGGCAGCCGCGAGGGACCGGCGGCCACTCACGCGCGGCGGGCGCGGGGCAGCCCCGACGTTTGGGCAGCGAACGAGAGGCGGACCGCGGTGCCCGGGATCTCACCGCCAGCGGCCTCCAAGCACGAAGGCGGCCCCGCGCAGCACCTGGAGCGGCCGACTGGCCTTCGGCGGGCCCGCGGCTTCCCCACCGCCGCCGCCATCGCGGCCAGCCCCCAGAACCCTCTTCCCTGCGCGCGCTGCACGCCGACCCCATACCCTCCGGGCTCACACCAGGCCCATGCGGGGCGCCGCCGACCTGGTCCCGAAGGCGAGCGCCCAGGGACACGGACAACGGGCCAACAAGTGGCCGGCGGTGGCGCCGCCACACAAGGCGGAGCCGGGTTTGGTCCCAGACGGGACCACCACAGCCTAAGCCGGTGAGCCGCTCGGGGAGAGAGGATACGCGGGCGGGGAGGGGGGCACAGACGCAAGGCCAGGGACCGCGAGGGCAAGGGCACCCGGAAGCCCGCAGAGGGGCGGCTCGGGGAGAAACCTCAGGCATGGCCGGTCCACCAGGAAAACACGGCCACGGGATCCCACCGCCACAGACACGAGGGAGGTCCTGCGGCGACCCGCCTAGGACGCCGGACGGCCCTCAGCACCCACCAAGACCCGCCTCATGAGCCCGGGTCCCGCCATCGGGACCCCAAAGCGACCTCAGCCACAAACCCAATGCCAGGGCTAGGTTGCTCGTTTCTCGTCCATCCTCCGACCCGGTCAAGCTCCGGGAGACCGGCGCGCCCCCCACTTGGGAAGCTTCCCATGGCCAGGCGGCCCAACCCCGTGCCACACAAACGCGGTCGTCGACACTGGTCGCTGCTCCTCAGGGGAGCGGGTGGAGAGACGGCTCGCAGCGGAGCGGGTCACGCGCCAGAGGGAACGCCGGGCACAGCCACCGCTCGCGCAGCCTCCCAACCGCTAGGACGCCGGCGCGGCACGGAGGGATCCTCCCGCGACTCAGAAGGGGGAGGCGCGGGCCACACAGTAGGCGACGAGCCGCCCTCCGTCCCCACCGCGGAGGCAGGGGAACCCTAGCTCTCCCCACCTCACCCCGTCGAGGGGGAAGTGGAGGAGTGTCCTCTGCGAGCTAGTCGCTACAGCAGCGCTACCATAACGCAGAGAGAGGCGGAAGGCCGGGGGATCCGCTACCCCAAAGGCACACCTCTCGGATCACTAGAGAAGGCTTTCTCACGGAGGGTGGGTCACACTCCCCACCAGCCAGTCGCCCCTCGTTGGGCCCTTAGAGGTGCTCAGGGATGCCTGGGGAAAGCAGGGGGCCTGCGGTACCAGGAAAAATCTGCGTGCGGCAACCTTGAACCTTCGCGGTCTGGGCGGGGGGCCTGGCCGCTATGCGTGTGCGCAATCCCCCAAGGGCCCCCCGTCCACCAGCCTCCTTTCTCCTAGACAAAGCACCTCCAAGTAAATCCACACACAACCTGTCGGAGGCAGAACGGTAGCCCCTCGGCGGCCGGCCGGCGCACGCGTCACCTGCCCAAGCCCACCGCGATAGCTCACACTGCCTGTGCGCACCAACCAGAGGGGATCACAGGACCTGCGCTCGCCAGACCAGGCGACGCCCTTCCCCGCGTGGCAGGGGTGCTTCTCACTCAACCTCCTCGACCCCCACACCAACGAGCTCCCTCAGGACCCACTCGCGGACACCGCGGCGGCGACCGGAGGAGGGGGCGCTGGGGGTGGGAACCACACACCACCGCTGGACTTTGGGCACCTGAGTGATAAGCTGGGGGGGGAACGGGTGGAGCCAGGCGCAGTAGGCTCACGCCTTTCATCCCCGCACTTTGGGAGGCGAGGGAAGGTGGATCCCTAGATCCAAGCCTTGGCAACATGGTGAAACCTCGTCTCTAAAAAAATACAAAAACTAACTGGTTTCATAACCTGGACTCAAAGTTAATAAATAGATAAATAGGCCGGGCGCGGTGGCTCACGCCTGTCATCCCAGCACTTTGGGAGGCCGAGGCGGGCGGATCGCGGGGGTCAGGAGATCGAGACCATCCTGGCTACCACAGTGAAACCCCCGTCTCTACTCAAAATACAAAAAATTAGCCAGGCGCAGTGGCGGGCGCCTGTAGTGCCAGCTGCTTGGGAGGCTGAGACAGGAGAATGGCGTGAACTCGGGAGGCAGAGCTTGCAGTGAGCCGACATCACGCCACTGCACTCCAGTCTGGGCAACAGAGCAAGACTACGTCTCAAAAAAATAATAATAATAATAAAGAGATCAAAATTGAAAATTAAAAAAAAAACGTAGCTGGCCGGGCGCAATGGCTCACGCCTGTCATCCCAGCACTTTGGGAGGAAGAGGTGGGCAGATCACCTGAGGTGGCCAGTTCGAGACCCGCCTGACCCACATGGAGAAATGCCGTCTCTACTAACAATACAAAATCAGCCAGGTGTGGTGGCCCATGCCTGTAATCTCAGCTACTCAGGAGGCTGAGGCAGGAGAATCACTTCAACACGGGAGGTGGAGGTTGCAGTGAGCTGAGATGGTGCCATTGCACTCCAGCTTGGGCAACAAGAGTGAAACTCCGTCCCCCCCCCAAAAAAAAAATTAAGCGCAGTATTCTGTTATTTTTGCTTCCTACCCTGAGAAGATCATAATACAGCTGTTGTCTGTCTGCCTGCCTGCCTGCCTGCCAGCCTGCCTGCCTGCCTGTGACAGGGCCTCACTCTGTCTTTCACTCAGACTGGAGTGCAGTGACACCATTATGGCTCACTCACTGCAGCCTCCACCTCCACAGGGTTAGGCGATTCCTCAAGGGATCCTAGGGCCTCAGCCTCCCAAAGTGTTGGGGTTACAGGTGTGAGCCACCAGCACCTGGCCTGAGTTAATACATCTGGTCTCACTACGTCTTAACCACACACCCATGAAGAACTCAAGTCAAGAGAGAGTCAGTAAGAGACTCAGCATTCTCTACCGAAAGCAGTGAGGTGGATGGCGGCTTGTGTCCCGAGCTCCTGTGGTTTCAGTTGGCCACGCGTAGAGGAGAGATTTCCAACGTTTCCAGAGAGGAAACATTGTCATTCGGGCCACAGCCATTCGGGGCATCCGAGCACGAGATGGGCTTTCTGACAGCGACTTTAGTGCGAGGAAGGGTCAGAATCTGCCAAGGCCCGTGTCCCAGGGTGTGGCCGAAGGAACCCAAGGTAGAGGGAGTCAGCGGTCCACACAGAGAGAGCTCCAGCCCTAGGCCCCACTGTGCAGACCCAATCAGAAGAAGAGAGTCCTTCATCCTACATGCCACATCCCTCCACTGAACTTGGGAGCGGATCCGTTTTCCAAACATGAGGTGACTCTCGCTTTGCAATGGATCACAAGGGGCCGGGCTTCCAGAGGTGGCAGGGTAAAGAAGTCATTCTGGCTCGGCCTCCCCCATCCCCTGGTAACTGGTGAGTTTAAATGAGCCGAGGCTGGCCGGGCCGGAGCCACTACGGCGGGGAGGGGTGTGGGCGGGGTGGGGGGGTGCCTGAGGCACTGCAGAAAGTGGGTCTGAGCCTCGAGGATGACGATGCTACAGGAACCCGTCCAGGTTGCTACATGGCAAGCACTAAACCACTATGCTTACCGAGATGGGGTTTTCCTCGCAGAACGCCTTTACGCAGAAGTACACTCAGAAGAAGCCTTGTTTTTACTGGCGACCTGTTCTTACTGCCCAGGAAAGGCCTATAAAGCATATAGACTCTTGAAAGGACACAGTTGTCCTACACCGCAATGCAAGTACCTGCTTGCAAAATGTTGTTTTGATGTCAGCAAGCTTGCAGAAGGGGAACAAATCTTATCTGGTGGAGTGTTTCATAAGCAGAAAAGCCATGATGATATTGTTACTGAGTTTGGTGATTCAGCTTGCTTTCCCCTTCCATTGTTGGGACATGTATATTGCAAGACAGATCGGCTTGCCAAAGGATCAGAATGCTACCAAAAGAGCCTTAGTTTAAATCCTTTCCTCTGGTATCCCTTTGAATCATTATTTGAAATAGGTGAAAAGCCAGATCCTGACCAAAGTTTTAAATTCACATCTTTACATAACTTTAGCAACTGTCTGTCCAAGTGTTGCACCACACAAGTACCTCGTCATAGTTTATGTCACAGACAGCCTGAGACTGTTCTTATGGAAACACCCCAGAACGCAACTGAATTAAACAGATTGAATTTAGAATCTTCCAATTCAAAGTACTCCTTGAATACAGATTCCCCAGTGTCTTCTATTGATTCAGCTGTAATTTCACCTGATACTCTCCCACTGGGAACAGGAACTTCCATATTATCTAAACAGGTTCAAAATAAAGCAAAAACTGATCGAACTTTATTAGGAGGACCAGCATCTCTTAGTCCATTAACCCCAAGTTTTGGGATTTTACCATTAGAAACCCCAAGTCCTGGAGATGGATCCTATTTACAAAACTACACTAATACACCTTCTGTAATGGATATGACATCCACCGGAGTCCCTTCAAAAAAGTCTGTTGCCAGAATAGGCCAAATTGGAGCAAAGTCTGTCTTCTCACAGAGTGGAAATAGCCGAGAGGTAACTCCAATTCTTGCACAAACAGAAAGTTCTGGTCCATAAATAAGTACAACACCTCAGGTATTGAGCCACACTATGATATCTCCCCCAAATGCACTGCATTGAAGAAGTTCACGACTCTTTACTCGTGACAGTTCCACAACCAAGGAGAATAGGAAGAAATTAAAAATGAAGTTTCCACCTAAAATCCCAAACAGAAAAACAAAAAGTAAAACTAATAAAGGAGTAATAACTCAACCTAATATAAATGACAGCCTGGAAACAACAAAATTGGACTCTTCCATCATTTCAGAAGGGAAAATATCCACAATCACACCTCAGATTCAGGCTTTTAGTCTACAAAAAGCAGCAGCAGAAGACTTGATGAGCCTTCTTCGTGAAAGGGGGAAGGTTATTTAGCTTTGTGTTCATACCACTGCAAAGAAGCTATAAATATTTTGAGCCATTTACCTTCTCACCACTACAATACTGGTTGGGTACTGTGCCAAATTGGAAGGGCCTATTTTGAACTTTCAGAGTCCATGCAAGCTGAAAGAATATTCTCAGAGGTTAGAAGGATTGAGAATTATAGTCGAAGCCATGGAAATCTACTCTACAACACTTTGGTATCTTCAAAAAGATGTTGCTCTTTCATTTCTGTCAAAAGACTTAACAGACATGGATAAAAATTTGCCAGAGGCCTGGTGTGCTGCAGGGAACTGTTTCAGTCTGCAACAGGAATACGATATTGCAATTAAATTCTTCCAGAGAGCTATCCAAGTGGATCCAGATTATGCTTATGCCTATACTCTATTAGGGAATGAGTTTGTCTTAACTGAAGAATTGGACAAAGCATTAGCTAGTTTTCGAAATGCTATCAGAGTCAATCCTAGACATTATAATGCATGGTAAGTGGTAATGAAGTGTAAAGACAAAGTCTTGTTGATGGTGCTGGTAGTCACTAATTTTTCTTGTTAGATAGCTCTTTATTGTCATGAATTTGGTTACTAATACTTAGGGATGGTACATACTGGTCAATAACTTCAAACTAACACGCTTTCTTATGAAATGTATGCCTTTAACAAACTCTTAAGTTAACTAATGATAATAGAATACCAGATCCTTATACTCAAGAGTTTCAGTCTTCTACCAAACTTTTGCAGATGCTCTAGTTGTGTTTTGTTTGTTTGTTTGCTTGTTTAGTTTTGTTACTTGATTTGTTACTTTTTCTTCGAACACAGAAATGGTGATTGAGACAAAAAGTGCTTGGGAAATTGGAAAGGAATAGCATAATTCACTTATTGGATAATAGAAAAAATCACTGAAAAAATTCACTAGTTGCTGCTTTTTGACAGTGTTCCAGTTTATTGAGTTACTATTAGGAACTAAGTGTACCCTTTTATTTAGCAGTATCTCTGTTTTACTTTTTTGTACTTGTGTATAAGTAGAGACATAGGAAATTACTACCCAGGTCATATTGTTATCAACTGAATAACATATGAAAAAGTTTGGTCCTACTTCTACCTCAACACTATAATTACTGTTGACATTTATTGTATTTTTCTGGACTGACTTAAAAGTTTAAATATCAAGAGAAGGCCAGGCACGGTGGCTCATGCCTGTCATCCCAGCACTTTGGGAGGCTGAGGCGGGTGGATCACAAGGTCAAGAGATCGAGACCATGCTGGCCAACATGGCGAAACCCCGTATCTATTAAAAGTATAAAAATTAGCTGGGAATGGTGGCGGGCGCCTGTAGTCCCAGATACTCAGGAGGCTGAGGCAGGAAAATCGCTTGAACCGGGAAGTGGAGGTTGCAGTGAGCCAAGATTATGCCATTGCACACCAGCCTGGGCAACAGAGCAAGAAACCATCTCAAGAAAAAAATAAAATAAAATGAAATAAAATAAAATAAAATAAAATAAAATAAAATAAAATAAATAAATATCAAGAGAAAGTATAATTCTGAAGTCATAACTCTGTGGAAGCCTTTTTGTCAGATACGGTTATCTTTGGGGTTAATTATTATAACAGTTGAGTTTTAACACTTGATTTGCTTCTAAATCTGAAGCATTATATTACTAAAACATTTTTTCATTTGTGAGTATGTTGTTTAATGGATTATATCTCATTTTGCAGTAGTAGTTGCAGTGCCTGAGAGATTGCCAAAAAAAAATAGTGCTAGCTTTTGCTGACAAATGTAACAATCAACTTACCAATACAGCCTTCTCTTCTGATAGCTATGTTATCCGTAATATTTTAAGAACTCAGTTCTTCATAAGACTTGTGTTGTTTTTTAATTTTTCCCAAGTCTGGTTGATCCTTGTGTTGTTCTTTTTTAAATGTGTATTGTCTGTTCAGCTATTCTGCAGGAGTCGCATTCTTAAAAACTTTAACCGTATCAAAAATTGTGTTTAAAGGAGGATTATTCAGATTGGCAAGCTTTTACTAGGAGGGGTTTAAATGCTGACATATTTAGGTAACTCTAAATACTGAGCAACTTTATTCTAACTACAAAATAGATAGCCTTTCTTTTGTTTTTCACTTTCACTATCATTAGCACTGTGTTTAATATATTTTCTTCATCTATAACACAATTATAACGATATATAAAGCCACTCAAATAAAGCAGATATATTGTGCTTTTAAAAAAAAAGAAAAGAAAAAAAAAGAAGTCATTATGTGGCACACAGTGAGGTGTGACTTGAATCTAGAATCTCCAGTGAAAACCAATGAAACACCGTGTCTACTAAAAATAAAAAAATGAGCCAGGTGTGGTGGCGCTGAGACAGGAGAATCGCTCGAACTCAGGAGGCAGAAGTTGCAGTGAGCTGAGATCATGCCACTGCACTCCAGCCGGGGCGGGGGACAGAGCAAGACTGCATCTCAGAAACAAACAAACACACAAAGCCAATAAAGGTGTTTCACTCAACGTTTCAGGCTCAGGTCTCTTGACAGGATACATCCAGCACCCGGGGAAACGTCGAGGGGTGAGTTGGAATCTGTTTTGTGGCCTCAAGGGAGGTTTTGAGAGATAGTCTCGCAAACATGACGGCCTAAGGAAGCCCCTCCGCCCAAGAAGCAATATTCATTTGTATCCTGTAGCCACCCACGAGGTAGAATCGGGCTCTCTACAGACACCCCAACCCCCACCCCACCCCACCCCCCCACCTCGTGAAATGAGCTCTCGCTCCGTCAGGCTCTATTCACGCCGTGTAGTTTTGTAACCTCCAGCATGTGTGCGTGGGTTGCGGGGTGGGGTGGGGGCGGCTGTGGACAGAGAAGGGGATAAAGCGGCAGTGTCTCGCGGGTGCCCAGGACGTGGGACGTGAGTGGGGTGGCCAGAGCCTAGTTAACTCATCGCCTGTCAGGACGTCTCCCCTCCTGGTCCCCTCTCTGACCTACGCTCCACATCTTCACAGTTCAGTGGGGACCTTGTGGGTGGAAGTCGCCATCCCTTTGTACTTTAGCCGACGAAGACCGGGCTCCCAAGAGTCTCCCGGGAGTCAAGGCCTTGGGCAGGCTCACAAGGATGCTGATGGCGAGGGTTAGTGATGGTGATGTAAGTTGGAAGCCTTGGGCCAATGCAGAGGTATCCATTTGACCTCGGTGGGACAGGTCAGCTTTGTGGAGTCCTGTGTGTCCTTCCAGAGACTCATCCAGCGGTAGCAAGCATGGTCCCGAGGATCCCAGCTCCCAGCAGAGGCACTTTTGTTCACATAGAATCCTGGGCAGGAAAGCTCTCTGCAGGTTTAGGCCTCCTAGCCAAAAAGTCAAAGCCACTTCTGGGATTTTTTTTCAAAGAGCCAATGGTTCCACAATGGGCCATGGGTAGTTGTGGAAGTGGAGAGACGTGTTTGCAGATACATATTTGAGACAGAATGGACAGGGCTCAGTCACAGTTCATGTAGGACACGAGCAGATGCATATTGAGAAAACCTTCCGAGCATCCTAGGTGAACAGAGGTATGATTTTTTGAGACAGTCAAGGGAGACGCAACCCCGGATGTTAGGGTTGGATCGTTATTAATATGTAGTATCTATGAGGTATCCAACTCCAGAAATCAACTCGCCAGTTCTGTACAGCATTCTGTAGGGAGATCAAATGTGGGATGTCTAAAGTTAAGAATTCAGGCTGTGGTAATGGATTAGATTAGATGTACTTGAACTTATTTTGCAAAGAAAGAGAGGGTGGGAGATAGCGAGAGCCAGAGACCGGTTGAGAGAGAGACAAAGACAGAGACAGAGAGACACAAAGAAACACAAAGAGAGAAAGACAGAAAGAGAGAGAGAGACAGACAGATAAAGACACAGACAGAGAAAGACAGAGATGGACAGAGACAGAGAGAAACAGAAAGAGAGACAGAGACAGAAAGAGAGAGAGACAGACAGAGAGAGACAGACAGGCAGACAGGCAGACAGTCAGAGAAAGAGAGTAAGACAGAAGGCAGACACACACACACAGAGACAGAGACAATGGACAGACAGAGAGAAAGAAGGAGAGAGACAGATAGAGAAAGAGACAGAGAGAGAAAGACAGAGACAGACAGAGGGAGACAGAGAGAAACAGAGACAAAGAGAGAGAGAAACAGACAAGGAGAGAGAGAGAGACAGACAGACAGGCAGAGAAAGACAGTAAGACAGAAGACAGACACAGAGAGAGACAAGCAGAGACAGACAGAGAGACAGAGAAACAGACAGAGAGAGAGAGAAAAAAACAGACAGGGAGAGAGAGAGAGACCTACAGACAGACAGACAGGAAGAGAGACAGAAACAGCGAGACAGAGAAAGAGAGATACACACAGACAGACAGACAAAGAGACAGACAGAGAAAGACAGAGACGGACAGAGAGAGACAGAGAGAAACAGAGAGAGAGACAGAGAGAGACAGACAGGCCGGAGGAGAAAGAGAGTAAGACAGAAGACAGACACAGTGAGAGAGACAGGCAGAGAGAGAGAGACACAGAGACAGAGAGACAGAGAGAGAGAGACAGACAGAGAGACAGACAGAGAAAGACAGAGATGGACAGAGAGAAACAGAAAGAGAGAGACAGAGAGAAAGAGACAGACAGGGAGAGAGAGAGAGAGAGAGACAGACAGGCAGAGAGAGAGAGAGACAGACAGGCAGAGAGAGAGAGAGACAGACAGGCAGCGAAAGAGAGTAAGACAGAAGACAGACACAGTGAGAGAGACAGGCAGAGAGACAGAGAGAGAAATAGGCAGAGAGAGAGAGACAGAGACAGAGAGAAGACGGAGAAAGAGAGACAGAGAGACAGAGAGAGGAGGAGGAAGGGCGCACTCAGGAAATAATTACACATATTTTATAAGGCTTTTGATCCCATAAACGGTGGCCGAGTTGTGCTTTGAAAACAACAACAACAACAGCAACAAGAGCAGCAGCAGCAGCAAGAGCAGCAGCAGCAATCGCTTACGGATTTCTAGAACATAAGATGTTCTGAAGTCTAGTAAACATCAACCGGCTCTCACTATACGTTCAGAGATTCACAAAATCGTTAGTTAACAACAGGAGAAAACCGCAGCTAACATGTCTTGGGGAAAAATATACGTCTTCCTGAAAACTGGGGATTTCTACTTCATCTAAAAAGAAATACAAAAGAAAAAGGAAAAACACGAACAAAACAAAACAAGCCAACAAACACGGGCCAAGGCACTGTCCCTGGAAATCTTAAGTGAGCAAAGTATTAGTTTTCAGAAAGCGTTTCTATTTTGGGCAAATGCTAAGAAGGCCCAGACTAGAGCTGTGACGTCATTCCCATTGTGAAACTATGCTGGCCGGAGGGCGGAGAAACTAAAACATCATGATAAAAGGTGACTGAGACCCAGCCAGGGTGAAGCTTTCCTAGGGAGGGAGGCCTGAAGAGGGAAGCGGGGGAAAAAACCCACAACTGCAGACCCGCCCGCTTGCCCACGCGGGTCAAGGGCTATGCCATTGGCCCAAGCTGCCTCTGGGGAAGTGGGACCGGGCCACCCCCATCTTCAAAAACGGTGGCCACTGAGTGAGGCCTGACGCCCACCGTTGCAAATGTCAGCCTGGCAAGAATGAGATCGCCGGCAAGGGGTGGGGGAAGGGGAGAGAAGACGGAGGCACACCGGGGTGGCTCCGGAAGGTTTCCAAGCAGGGTGTTGGGAGGCGGGGGGTGGGGAGTTTGGGTGGAACCCACCTAACTGACTCACTAAATGAAGGTAAAGGGACGTGGGTAGTGGGGGGAGCCGGGGGGCGACTTGAAAATTAAACTGACCCCTCCTAAAACCCAAGTAGAAGAGTCTATGCGCATGAAAGAAACCAACACACAAAGAAAACTAAAGCGCTGATCAAAGAACAATAGGGCCCCCGCCAGGGCGGAGGTTCCCTAGGCAAAGAGTGAGAGAGGGAGGGGCCTCCAGAAGGGAGAGAGAGAAATCGGTTGCCCCAGGCTCCGTGAAGTCAGCGAGACCTCCCTCCGTGTCACCTCGACTTTCAATAACAGTGGCCGCTAGGTGATGCCCGAAGACAACCGATGCCTGCAAGTGTCAGTCAGCACGGAAAAGAATGTATTTATTTATTTATTTATTTAGAAACAGAGTCTCACTCACTCTACAGCCCGGGCTGTAGTGCAGTGGTGCGATCTCGGCTCACTGCAGCCTCCGCCTCCCAGGTTCAAGCGATGCTCCCACCTCAGCCTCCCGAGTAGCTGGCATTACAGGCGCCTGCCCCCCCACGCTCGACTCAATTAACTATTTTTAGTAGAGACGGGGTTTCGCCATGTTGGCAAGGCTGGTCTCGAACTGCCAACCTCAGGTGATCCACCCGCCTCGGCCTCCCAAAGTGCTGGGATGACAGACGTGAGTCACCGCACCTGGCCTTAACCGTGTATTTTTAAGTCGAGGAGCTGATCAGGAAAATATGAGAATTAGGGATGCCACACATGACAGAGAGAAAAGTGTGAAAATGCCCCTTCCATCCAAGTGGGGACCCGGCCTCGACCTCCCGAAATCATAAGCCGAGTGGCGAAGCCTAGCAAGTCTCGTCGGTCTAGATTCCTCTGGGCCTCTCTAAGCAGGCGCTTCTCACTTTCGTGGAAGGGGCAGGGCCCTCCCCGGCACGGGGTGTCTGACAGACTGACAGAGAAAGAGACAGACATAGAAAGACAGAGATGGACAGAGAGAGACAGAGAGAAACAGACAGAAAGAGAGAGAGACAGAGACAGAGAGAGAGAGAAACAGACAGACAGGGAGGGAGAGAGACAGAGAGAGAGAGAGAGAGACAGAGACAGACAGAGAGAAACAGAAAGAGAGAGAGACAAAGAGAGAGAAACAGACAGACACACAGAGACAGACAGAGAGAGACAGAAACAGAAAGAGAGAGAGATGGAGAGAGTGAGAGATAGAGAGAGAGAGAAACAGAAAGAGATGGGGAGAGAGAGACAGACAGACAGGCAGAGAAAGAGAGTAAGACTGAAGACAGACACAGTGAGAGAGACAGGCAGAGGGAGAGAGAGACAGAGACAGAGAGAAAGAAAGAGAGAGACAGAGAAAAAGACAGAGAGATGGACAGAGAGAAATAGAGGGAGAGAGAGACAGAGACAGAGAGAAAGAAAGAGAGAGACAGAGAAAAAGACAGAGAGACGGACAGAGAGAAATAGCGTGAGAGAGAGACAGAAAGAGAGCACGCGAGAGCCAGAGAGTCAGAGTGAGAGAAACAGACAGGGAGGGAGAGAGACAGACAGAGAGAGAGAGAGACAGGCAGAGAGAGAGAGAGAGACAGGCAGAGAGAGAAAGACAGAAGATAGGCACAGAGAGAGAGAGAGAGAGAGAAAGAGAGAGAGAGAAAGAAAGAGAGAGACAGTCTGGGCACGGTGGCTCACTCCTCTCATCCCAGCACTTTGGGAGGCCAAGGCGGGCGGATCGTGAGGTCAGAAGATCGAGACCATCCTGGCTAACACGGTGAAATCCCGTCTCTACTAAAAATACGAAAAATTAGCCAGGTGTGGTGGCGGGCGCCTATAGTCCCAGCTACTCGGGAGGCTGAGGCAGGAGAATGGCGTGAACCTGGGAGGTGGAGCTTGCAGTGAGCCAAGATGGCGCCACTGCACTCCAGCCTGCGTGAAACAGTGAGACTCCATCTGAAAAAAAAAAAAAAGAAAGAGAGAGACAGACAGACAGAAGAAGAGACAGACAGAGACAGACAGAGAGAAACAGAAAGGCAGGGAGGGAGAGAGAGAGACAGGCAGGGAGGGAGAGAGAGAGAGAGACAGGCAGAGAAAGACAGTAAGACAGAAGACAGACACAGTGAGAGAGACAGGCAGAGAGAGACAGACAGAGGCAGAGAGAAAGAAAGAGAGAGACATACAGACATGGAGAGAGAGAGACAGAGAGAAACAGACAGAAAGAGAGACAGACAGAGAGAGAGTGAGAGAGAGAGAGACAGAAAGGGAGAGAGAGGGACAGACAGAGAGAGAGACAGACGGGTAGAGAAAGAGAGTAAGACAGAAGATAGGCACAGAGAGAGAGACAGAGAGAGAGAGAGCGAGAGAGACAGACAGAGACTCAGAAAAAGAAATAGAGACAGAGAGACAGAGAAAAACAGAGAGAGAGAGAAACAGACAGAGAGAGACAGAGAGAGAGAAACAGAGAGGGAGGGAGAGAGAGAGAGACAGGCAGAGAAAGAGAGTTAGACAGAAGACAGACATCGTGAGACAGGCAGAGAGAGAGAGACAGAGAGAGAGAGAGAAAGAAAGAGACAGACAGACAGGCAGGCAGAGAAAGAGACAGATAGAGAAAGACAGAGATGGACAGAGAGAGACAGAGAAACAGACAGAAAGAGGGAAGGTCCTAGCCCAGTAGCGATACAGTGACTTTTCTTTCATTGTATCTTTCTTTTCTGGTTTTCTTTTTTCTTTTCTTTTTCTTTTCTTTTCTTTTCTTTTTTCCTTTCTTCTTTTCTCTTTCTTTCTTTCTTTCTTTCTTTCTTTCTTTCTTTCATTTATTTATTAGGAGACCAAGTCTCACTCTGTCGACCAAGCTATAGTGCAGTGGCACCATCCCGGGTCACTGAAACCTCTGCCTGCCAGGTTCAAGAGATTCTCCCGCCTCAACCTCCCGAGTAGCTGGGACTACAGGTGCCTGCCCCACCGCGCCCGACTCAGTTTAGTATTTTCAGTAGAGATTGAAAATACGAAACTGAGTCAGTTTCACCATGTTGGCTACGCTGGTCTTGAACTCCTGACCTCGTGACCCACCCACCGCGGCCTCCCAAAGTGCTGGGATGACAGACGTGAGCCACTGCATTCTGTGTACAGTGCCATTTCTTAGAAATAACTCATGGGAACACACACTTATATGTCATGTGTAGAGATTTTATTTATTTATTTATTTATTTATTTATTTGCACGGGAAGGTGGGAGGACGGAGTTTCGCTCTTGCTGCCCAGGCTAGAGTGCAATGGCATAGGGGACTCAACGAGTCAACCTATGGCAGACAGGACATGTCATTCTGAGCATAAGGGCCGCAGGGAAAAATGTTAGGGCCCGCGCTTTTAAAGGCTGAAATCCCGGTGGCTCAGGCCTGTCGTCCCAGCACTTTGGGAGGCCCAGGAGGGTGGATCACTTGAGGTCAGGAGTTCAATACCAACGTGGCCAACATGGAGAAACCTCATCTCTACTAAAAATAGAAAAATTAGCCTGCTATCGTCGTGCGCGCCTGTAATCCCAGCTACCAAAGAAAAATCACTGGAACCCGAGAAGCAGAGGTTTCAGTGAGCCGAGAGAGCGCCACTGCACCACAGCCTGGGTGAAAGAGCGAGAGAGACTCAATCCAAAAAAAAGAAAAGAAGAAAAAAAAAAAAAGAACAGGCCCAAGTACTGCATTGTCGCTGAATGTTCCCCTAAAAGGCCAGAAACACCCTGACTCAGGTCAAGGAGGTGGTGTTTCGTTTCACTTCTCTCTCTCTCTCTTTCCCTCTCTCTCTCCCTTTCTCTCTCTTTCTCCCCTAACTTTCATTTCTTGTTCAAACATACATGTGCAAGATCGTTACATAGGTAAACTTCTGACGGGGGGGTTCAGTGTGCAGATGATTTCATCGCCCGGACACTCAGTGCAGTACTCGACAGTTTTCATGTTTTGTTTTGGTTTGGTTTCTCCTGAAGCTGTCTCTCCTTCCACCCCTCCTCCCTCAAGTAGGCTCCCGCGTCTCTCGTCACCCTCGTTCTGCCCACGCAGAATTCTCATCTATAAGTTCTCACTTATGGATGAGAACACACGGTATTTAGCTGATTGTTGCTTTCATCCTAGGTGGTGGCGGTGAAAGAGACATGACATTAAATCGACCCTTAGGACGCTCCCCTCCGTCCCCACCACGCACCCCCTCCCCCCACACACCCTCATTCCTGCACCCCCTCCTCAAACTCAGGAAAGGAAGAAAGACAGAAATTAAATTAAGAGGTCAGCCTCCAAGGCGGTGAAGGCAGGGGATCTCAAAGGGTGAGCAAGCGATGGGGGTCGGGGAATGTCTTGGCTGAGCTTGCAACAATAGGGGACCGAGTTTCCAGCCCCACCACATCCCCTAATCCTCAGCCGCAGCCAGCCTCTGGGTGGGGTTGCACCTGTAAAATCTTCTGAATGGAGAGAAGTCCAAGGCAATGGAAGGCATCAGCTCCAACTCCAGGAAGGAAATAGGGCTTTGTGCATTTGAATGGGGCTTTAGAACGATGCGCCTCGCCTTGCATCGCCTCGACCAGAGCAAGACTCCCTCTCAAAATCAATCAATCAATCAATAATAAAAAAATTCATCAATAAATGAAAGAAAGAAGAAAAGAAAGAAAGAAGAAAGGAAAGAAAGAAAGAAAGAAAGAGTACAGCGGTCATGGTCGTGAATCATTCCCCGGAGTCAAGGTGCAGTGGCTCAAGCCCTTCACGCCAGCACTTTGAGACGCCGGGTCAGGAGGGTTGCAACAAAATGATGAGACCCTTTCTGTGGAAAAACATTTAAAAATGAAGGCCAGGAGCAGTGGCTCACGCCTGCCATCCCAGCAGTTTGGGAGGCCGAGGAGGGCGGATCACCTGAGGTCGGGAGTTCGAGACCAGCCTGACCAACATGGAGAAGCCCCATCTCTACTAACAATACAAAATCAGCCAGACGTGGTGGTGCATGTCTGCAATCCCAGCTACTCAGGAGGCTGACGCAGGAGAATCGCTTGAACCCGGGAGGCAGAGGTTGTGGTGGGCCACGATTGCGCCATTGCACTCTAGTCTGGGCAACAAGAGCGAAACTCTGTCTCGGGAAAAAAATAAATAAATAAATAAAAATGATCTGGGCACAATGGCGCGTGCCTGTGGTCCCAGGTACTCTACTCTGGAGGCTGATGTGGAAGGATCGCTTGAGTCCAGAAGCGTCCATGCTGCATTGAGTGAGTTATGATGGCACCACTGCCAGGGTGACAGAGTGAGACACTGTCTCTAAATCAGTCAATCAATCAATCAGATCACTGGATGGCGCTGTCTGTGTCTTACTTTCAAAGGGTGTCCCTTTAGGCCAAGTAGGCATGGTGCCTCACGCCAGTAATCCTGGCACTTTGGGAGGCCGAGGCGGGAGGAAAGAAGGAAGGGAGGAAGGGAGGAAAGAAGAAAGGCAGGAAGGCAGTGAGGCAGGCAAGAAAGAAAGAAAGAGAAAGAAAGAAAGGGAGAAGAAGAGAGAAGAAAAGAAAAGAAAAGAAGAGAAAGAAAAGAAAGAAAATGGGGAAGGGCATATCTCCTTGACTGGTGACTGCCCAGGGTACAGTGGGTCACAGCTGACTGAAGCCTCAACCTGTGGGGCCTCAAGTGATCTTCTCTTTATCTCAGCCTCACGAGTAGCTGCGACTACAGTCAGGTATCAGCACGCACAACTAACCTTATAATAATATTATGATTATTGAGAGAGTCTCACTCTGTCTCAATAATTGCCATGGCATGATCTCAGCTCACTGCAACCTCGGCCTCCCTGGTTCAAGCAATTCGCCCTTCTCAGTCTCCTGAGTAGTTGTGATTACAAGCCTATGCCACCAGGCCTGGCTAATTGTTCTATTTTTCATAGAGATGGGGTTTCGCCATGTTGGCCAGCCTGGTCTTGAACTCCTGGCCTCAAGTGATCCACCCCCCTTGGCCTCCCAAAGTGTTGGAATGACAGTCATGAGCCACTGTGCCCGGCCCAGATAATCTTTTTAATAAATTGTAGAGAAGGGGTTTCGTCAGCCGCCGGGTGGAGGGTGAGGTGGGTTTTACTCAGACTGCATACTGTGAAAAGGATAAATTAGTGTGGTTTGTGAACTAGATGTGGAAATTGTGTGTGTGTGTGTGTGTGTGTGTGTGTGTGTGTGTGAGAGAGAGAGAGAGAGAGACCAATCCCACCATGAGGACCCGGAAATGGAGTTTGATTTGGGTCTCTGTCTAGTCACCTCTCTGTCTGTAGATGACTGAGGATTCCACAAATGAAGGTCAGCAGTATCCATTGAGCTGTTTCTCCCTCTCATGCGTCTCATCTGTGTGGTGGAGAAAGGGAAGAAAAGAGGATCTGATGGGAAGTTGTCTTCATGCCTGAGGAAGCTGAAGGCAGGCTGACTGTAAGGAGGGCATCCTATGTGACATTTCCATACCTGGGCACCCTTTACAATGCTGGGGCTGCCAGTCCACCCTGTACGTCAACCCACCACCAAGAACAGCACGGTCCGGGGTGGTCCAGTCTCATCCCATGCATCCGGCCCACCCGGGGAATCTAGTGGAAGTACTCACTGGAGGATTCGACACCTTAGAATACTATGCACCAAAAAAAATGATGAGTTAATGTACTTTGTAGGGACATGGATGAAACTGGAAACCATCATTCTCAGCAAACTATCACAAGGACAAAAAAACAAACACCGCATGTTCTCACTCATAGGTGGGAACTGAACAATGAGAACACATGGACACAGGAAGGGGAACTTCACACACCGGGGACTCTTGTGGGGTGGGGGGAGGAATAGCATTAGGAGATATACCTAATGCTAAATGACGAGTTAATGGGTGCAGCACACCAACATGGCACATGTATACATATGTAATAAACCTGCACGTTGTGCACATGTACCCTAAAACTTAAACTATAATAATAATAAAATAAAACAAGAAAAAAAAGAAGAAAGCGTCAACGCGGCTCCCTTGGGGTCGCCGGGCGTAGGCCAGCCGGTGGAGGGTGGCTGGACATGAAGGGGGGCGGGGCATCGGCCTCAGAGCTCCTTGGAAGGTGGCAGGCAGCCGGTGGGGGACGCTGAGCCAGAGACGTCTGACAGGATATAGATCTGGAAGCCGCGTCAGTCCTCTCCCATACCTCTCCCACGGAAAATCCCACAGCGGCGGTGGGAGCCTTGGCTGGGGGAGAAGCGGGGACAAGGGGGAGAGGGAAGGAGGCCCTCGGGAGGATTTAGCACTGAAAACCCACCCAGTCAAGCTCCCTCCCTCCTATTGGGTCCAAGGTACACCCTGGGAGGCGGCAAGAGAAACGTTCACCCCGTGCTTTTTGTCTTTCTCTTTATTTTTTTCATCTTTTCAATTTTACAAGAGATGCTCATTTCAACAATCAGGCGGTTGATGTGATGGGAGAAGTGTCAAGTCCAGGAGTTCGAGACCAGCCCTAGCAACTGAGCAACACAAGTAGGAGAGCCCAGCTGAAAACTATGAAAAAAAGAAGGAGGAGGAGGAGGAAATAAAAGAAAAAAAAAAAGAAAAGAAAGAAAAGAAAAGAAGAGAAAAAAGTTAAAATTCTCCAATTGTGCAGGCACAAAAAGAGTGATTTCACGTCTTTTCCCACAACATGGGTAGAGCTGGAAGCAAGTATGTACCCAGTGAACTGCCTTCTGCTTACAAGTGGGAGGTAAATAATGGGTACACGCACGGTCATCAAGATGGAAATAACAGACACTCCAAAAGGGAGGAGGAGGGTAAGAGGGGGACGAGGAATGAATTAATCGCCCCTCAGAGACAACGTCCACCACGTGGGTAACGGATACACTGGAGGTCCACTTCTACATCCGGAAGCAGTAGTAAGCTGATCTAACAAACAAGCACATACACCCCCTGAGTCTGTAAAATACCAAAACAATGACGACAGCACCAGCAGCAGCAGCAGCAACAACAACAGAACAGAAGCTGGAACACAAAACCACCACCACCACCACCACAATCACCAGTTGGGGGTTTGGGGAGTCTGGCCGCGCTCGAGGCCCTCAGGCTCAGTCCCCTCGGGATTAAAAAAGAAAACAGCAGACTCATTCCTGTCTGTAGGCAGGAAAAATCCAATCAAAGTTCTCCGTTGCTAGAAAGGGAAGTAGAATAAGGAGAAGGGCTTATTGATCTTCTTGTGATCGATCGAGACCATACATGTAGAAAAAAATTAAATACAGACAGCAACAGTTTCTACACTGTTCAAAAGCATCGGAGATCAGGCGCACCACACACCATGGGGCTTGAGCCACTAGAAAGAAAAGGCAGGCCGGGCGCGGTGGCTCACGCCTGTCATCCCAGTACTTTGGGAGGCCGAGGCGGGCAGATCACGAGGTCAGCAGATCGAGACCATCCTGGCTAACACGGTGAAACCCCGTCTCTACTAAAAATACAAAAAATTAGCCGGGCCTGGTGTGGGCGCCTGTAGTCCCAGCTACTCGGGAGGCTGAGGCAGGAGGATGGCATGAACCCGGGAGGCGGAGCTTGCAGTGAGCCGAGATAGCGCCACTGCACTCTGGTCTGGGCGAAAGAGCGAGACTCTGTCTCAAAAAAAAAAAAAATAGCCAGGCATAGTGCTGCATGCCTGTAGTCCCAGCTACTCAGGAGGCTGTGGTAGAACAATCACTTGACCCAGCAGTTTGAGGCTGCAGTGAGCTAAGATCATGCCACTGCACTCTGGCCTGGGTGACAGAGCGAAACCCCATCTCAAAACAAAGAACAACCAAAAACCTACAAGCATACTCAGAGATAGTGTGGGTTTGGTTCCAGACAACCACAATAAGGAAAATGTTACAATCAAGTTAGTCACATACACATTTTGTTTCCCAGTGTTTATAAAAGTTATGCTTAAACTATGTTGTAGTCTAATGAGTATTTAATAATTAATTATTAATTAATTAGTAATCGCATTATGTCTAAAAAACTATGTACATACCTTAACTTAAAATACCTCATTGCTGAAAAATACTAATGAATATCTGAGCCTCATCAGGTCATAATCTTTTTGCTGGTGAGTGAAGGGGTGGCCTGCCCCTCCACACTTGCGGGTATTTCTAGTGAGGTGGGACGAGAGACTGAGAAAACAAGTAAGACACAGAGACAAAGTATAGAGAAGCAACAGTAGGCCCAGGGGACCAGCGCTCAGCATGACAAGGACCTGCACAAGCACCGGCCTCTGAGTTCCCTTAGTTTTTATTGGTTATTATTTTCATTATTTCAGCAAAAAGGAATGTAGTAGGAGAGCAGGGTGATAATAAGGAGAAGGTCAGCAAAAAACATGTGAGCAAAAGAATCTATGTCATAATTAAGTTCAAGGGAAGTTACTATGATTGGACGTGCACGTAAGCCAGATTTATGTTTCTCTCCACCCAAACATCTCAGTGGAGTAAAGAATAACAAAGCAGCATTACTGCAAACATGTCTGTCCTCCCACCATAGGGCGGTTTTTCTCCTATCTCAGAATTGAAGAAATGTACAATCGGGTTTTATACTGAGACATTCAGTTCCCAGGGGCAGGCAGTAGACAGTGGCCTTCCTCTATCTCAACTGCAAGAGGCTTTCCTCTTTTACTAATCCACCTCAGCACAGACTCTGAATGGGTGTCGGGCTGGGGGACAGTCAGGTCTTTCTCATCCCACGAGGCCATATTTCAGACTATCATATGGGGAGAAACTTTGGACAATACCCTGCCTTCAAGGGCAGAGGTCCCTGCGGCTTTCTGCAGTGCATTATGCCCCTCGTTTATTGAGATTAGGGAATGGCAATGACTTTTACCAAGTATACTGCTGGTAAACATTTTGTTAACAAGGCACGTCCTGCACAGCTCTAGATCGCTTAAACCTTGATTTCATACAACACATGTTTTTGTGAGCTCCAGGTTGGGTCAAAGTGGCTGAAGCAAAGTGGCTGGGGCAAAGCTACAAATTAACAACATCTCAGCAAAGCAATTGTTTAAAGTACAAGTCTTTCAAAATGGAGTCTCTTATGTTTTTCCTTTCTATATAGACACAGTAACAGTCTGATCTCTCTTTCTTTTCTCTACAGTGAGGGTCTTGCCTCTATGTTGATGGCTGCTGACTGATCAGTGTGGGGGCTGCTGAAGATTGGGTGCCTGTGTCAATTTCTTAAAACAATGAAGTTTGTTCCTTTCACAAAACATTTCCCTGTAGCATGTGATGCTGTTTGATAGCATTTTATCCACAGTAGAACTTCCTTCAAAATTGGAGTAAACCCTCTCAAACCCTGCTGCTGCTTTATCAACTAGGTTTATGGAATATTCTAAATCCTTTGTTGTTATTTCAACAAACTTCATAGCATCTCCACCTGGAGTAGATTCTATCTCAAGAAAATATTTTCTTTGCTCATCCATAAGCAACTCCCCACTTGTTCAAGTTTCATCATGAGTTTACAGCAATTTAATCTCATCTTAAGGCCCTAATTCTAATTCTGGTTGTCTTGTGATTTCTACCACATCTGTAGGGACTTCCTCCACTGACATCCTGAGCCCTCAAAGTCTTCCATGAGGGCTGGAATCAACTTCTTCCAAACTCCTGTTAATGTTGATATTTCAACCTCCTCCCATCAATCACAAATGTCCTTAATGGCATTTGCTATTAAGGACATTTGTGATTCACGGGAGGAGGTTGAAATATCATGAAGGGATTAATGGTGAAACCTTTCCAAAAGGTTTTCAATTCAGTTTATCCAGATTCATCAAAGAAATCACTATCTATGACAGCTATACCTTTATAAAATGCATTTATTATTTAATATAAACACTTGAAAGTCAAAACCACTCCTTGATCCACAGGCTGAAGGATAGATATTGTATTAGCAGCCATGAAAATAACATTAATTTCCAAGTACATCTCCATCTAAGCTTCTGGGTAGCTAGGTGAATTGTCAATAAGCAGCTATCTTTTTTCTTTTTTTCTTTTCTTTCCTTTTTTTTTTCCTTTATGTAGTTTCCCTCTTGTTACCCAGGCTGGAGGGCAGTGGCGTGGTCTCGGCTCACTGCAACCTCCGCCTCCAGGGTTCAAGCCATTCTTCTGCGTCAGCCTCCCAAGTAGCTGAAATTACAGGTACCACCACCATGGCCGGCTAATTTTTTTGTGTTTTTATTAGAGACAGGGTTTCATCATTTTCGCCAGGCTGGTCTCCAACTCCTGACCTCAGGCGATCCACCCACCTCGCCTCCCAAAGTGCAGTGATTACAGGTGTGAGCCACTGTGCCTGGCCAAGCAGCAATCCTTTAAAGGAATCATTTTTGTTTTTTCTTTTTTTGTTTTTTGTTTTTTTCTGAGCAGTAGGTCTCAATAGTGGGATTAAAATATTCAGTAAACCATGCTCTTAACAGATGTGTTGTCACTCAGATTGTGATGTTCCATTTCTAGAGCACAGAAAGAATAGATTTTGCATAATTCTTAAGGGCCCTGAGTTTTTCAGAGTGGTCAATGAGCATTGGCTATAACTTAAAGTCACCAACTGCAGTGGTCCTCAAAGAGAGTCAGCCCATCCTTTGAAGTTTTGAAGTCAAGTGTTGATGTCTCTCTAGCAATGAAAATTTTACATCTTCAGTAAGCTTAATCATTTCTAGCTCTGGACTTAAATTGAGAGACATGCAATTCTTCCTTTCATTTGAGCTCTTTGAGGCCACTGTGGTTACTAATTAACATCCCCAGCGGGTGTCATCCTCCTCCCTCCTCAATCGAGTTCACCCACACAGGGGCGTGGGGAACAGGGCTTCCCGCACCCCACACGCCCTGCACGCCTGGGGCTCTCCACATGGGGCTTTCGTGAGCCAGGGAGCAAGGGCCTTCCCCCCGCTCCAGCCCAGCCAGGCTGCGCAGGCAGAAGGAATCTCTCAACCTGCCCCTGCACGCGGGGATTTTGTGTTCGCTGCCCTGGCTCCTCTGGAAGTAGGACTGTCCCACCCTCAGACTCCTCGGTGGCCTCCGCAGCCTAACAAATGCCAGGAGGAAGAGGACCCGCAACACGGCGGCCTGCTGGGTGCGTGCTCAGTGGGACAGCTTGGGCCCCCTCAAGCTGAGTCACAGGGGCAAGGTGTGTTTGCGCCACCCACGTCCCACCGGAGTCCGGGTGGGGCTAGAGCCCCATGTCGCCAGGGCAGCATGGGAAACCGAATACCGGGCACCTCCACCTCTGAAGCTCGCGACCCCGGAGGCCTCCGCGTCAACCACAGATGCAAGCCATCCAGGCACCTCCCAACCACTCCAGGAGTCGGGGCGCTCGTCTACACACACCCCCAGCCTGTTAGATGAGCTCCTGTCAAGCCCAGAGTTTCAGCAAAAGGCACAACCTTTCCTAGATCCGGCGCCACTGGGGAAGCTGAAGGACGTGGAAGAGCCCGCTCCGCTGGAACCACTCCTCAGCCAGGAAGAACACCCGGCTCTGCTGGAGGAGCTTTAGGACGCGGGGTTGGGGTGGGGTGGGGGCAGGGCCGCGGCCTCTCTTTCGCAGTGAACCTCTGACTCGGTATGGAGCGGCTTGTCTTCCCTTCCAGCTGACCTGCTTAGGATCCCTGAGTTCCAGGTCCCGTGAGAGACTCCACTCAGAGGAGGGCTATCATTCTTTGCTGAGCATTCCGGGGATCCCAGGGCCCGTCCAGGTACCGGGAGGCGGACCGTCTACTGCTCATGTGCGGATTAGCAGGCAGTAGCCTAGGTTTTCTAACTAGCCTAGGCGGAGCTCTCTTCCCTTCCCTCTTGCCCCCTGCCGCGTTCTTCAGTGGGGCGGGCGGAGACCTCCATCCCGGGAAACACTGGCCCGGTCAGACGCCAGGCCTGCTCTTCTTTCCGCGTCTCTCCTCCTCTGCCTCCCCGCCCCACCTTCACTCGCCTACCCTTGCCCCGCCAGCTTCCTCGGCATCGCTGTGGAGCGCCTGACAGCTAAATGCAGACCCGAGACCCCGTGCAAGCCAGGGTGCTGCCCTTTCTAAGCGGGAGGGAACTCAGGCAGAGATGGGGAGGCGAACGGAGACAGAGAGGGAGAAAGCGATGGAGGGAGGAAAGAACGGATGGACCGTGGGACCTTGGAAAGGATGGAGGGATAGAAGGAGGGGGAGAGGGAAGGAGGGAGGGAGGAAGGGAGGAACTGAGGGAGGGACGGAGGGAAAGAGGGTGGGAGGGAGCAAGAAACAGAGAGAGGAAGGCAGAGAGAAAAGTAGTCTTCTGCCTCCAGGACCAGCAGGATCTCGCACTCCGGGAAAATGTTGGGTGCCCAGTGCAGGCTAAGTGCTCGGGCCACAGCCGCGTCGGCCTGCGGCGCTCTCACCGGCCCTCCGGATCGCCAGCCTGGGTTACTTCATCCGGGAGCAATTCAGACGAATTTCGTCTCCCAAGGAATGAGCGAACTGCCCAGAGAGCAATGAGCCGAGACTCGGGTGATTGTCCATTTTTCATCCACATGGTTCACAGATGAGATAGCCCCACGTTGAGCCTGCAACGGAGCGCGAGGTGGATAGTCCCGTCCACACAGGAGTCACACTCAGGCCGACTGAAGCGTGGTTTCGGGTTCCACGTTCCTTTGCCTTCTGCAAGGGGGCCTGTTGCTCATGCGTCTCTAGCCCCCGAAAGCGTGACCATGTTGACTGTTTGTTTCCCGAGCTCTGTGGGGACACAGAAACCTCCAGAGAACCGTGGAAAAGCAGCATCGTGTCTTCGCTCTCCTTTCCAGTTTCCTGTTTGGAAACAGGCCATAGTGGAGACTCCCCATGTCGCAGGAAACAGGAATCCATCCTCAGGCCGTGATGCACCGGGGGTTTCTTTTCTCTGTAGTTTCGCTCTCGTTTTCCACATGAAAATGAACGAGATCCGTAAGGAATGAGAAAAGGGAGAATCAGAAATAGCACACAAGTCTTGACTACTGTTACATTCCACTTTGAAATCACTCTGAGGTGAAACAACAATTTTCCAAGATTTAAAGAAAAATAGATTTTATAAAAGGGATTCTTTTATTCACTCAATACATCATTTATGTTACTGACAGTAACAAGTGATTTTTTTCACTATAATTTGCTCTGATGAAATAAATAATTCTTTTAATTCCTAACAAATGCTACATTTTCAAGACTAAAGGAATTATCAGTAGGCATTCTTTCTTCTTGATCTAAGTTATTTATCTCTAAAATATGTCAAGTAAGCTTTTAAAGATTCAGGGAGGGGCAGCTTCATGATTTTTTTCTCTCAGTAAATTTTGAGGTGGCTCCTCTGGCTTCATCGTTTCACTGTGATCTTTTTCTTCCTCTTCTTTGTTATCTTCTTCCATTTCTTCATCCTCCTCACTGTCTAGAGGCTGAGGAATAAGCTGATTACCCACAAATATGTAAGTGGTAATTCTCTGTTTAGCTCTCTTTCTTTTCCTTTTGGGTGGAGGTCTTTGAAGAATCCCCTTGGCCGGCATCTCATCATTTATGAAATTTCTAATTGTGTGTCGAATGTAAATAAGAGCCAAGTCCTGTAGATTCCTGACAGTGATTCCTTACAGATTTGTAGTGGTGAGGGTTAGATTTAATTTTATATAAGGTTTAAATAATTGTTAAGCATATGTAACCTGATCTGAATTTGCACTTCCTCTATGAAAACTTCATTTATCTAATAAGGAAATCAAATGCTTTGTAGACCTGTTTACCTTACTTTTGTTGCAATCACTGTTGCTGGGTTGCTGTATATATATTCCGGGCAATATATGAGTGTAATAACAATACAAAATACTGAATAATTTAGCTTTTAAAAATCCCACAAATTTTATGAAATTTTACAGCCCTGCTACTTTTGCTTTTCAATCTCTTGCCAAAAGACACGAGTAAAATATCTGCTTCTCTCAGAGAGATTTTAAGAGCACAGCAAGTGAATTATTAAAATAGGAAGTATGTACTTAATACAACTCTTTATATGGACCCTTTACATTTTCAGTATTTTTAAAAATGAGGTTACCTTAACTCTCTAGAATTTTAAAAGTATATTTAGAATTGTTTTTTCTGTAGTTCACTGTATAAAGTATTTGTTTTTTTTAAAAAAGCAAAACCATTATTATGTGTGACTCTTGATAGGCCACAGAACGAGTGAATGAGCATGAGTGAGGCCAATTTCTTAGATGGCTGTAAGTAGCAGGGCCATGGTAGACCTGGTCAGTGGATGCACTTTAGCAGATGGAACTTCTAGTTTATCTGAATATTTATCTTTGACAAGGTAGGGCTCAGCCTACATTTGCTTTGGATCTTTCTAGTGCAAGAAATATTCACAGAAATTGTATGTAGATAACCTTTGTTTGGAAAATCCTGTTCAGAATCATAGTGTAATCTTTGGGACTTATGCCATGCTCATTTGACTTCTTCCCATTTTTTTTATGTTTCTTTTGGTAAAACTATAATGGTTTTCATTTTTTACTTAATATCACACAATTAAACTCTCATATTTGAGTTTCATTGTAGCTTATCAGTGATAAAAAACAGATAGTAACTGCCATTGTTTGTTTCTTTGTTTTCGTAATAAGGCCTGAAAACAGCCAATCCTTGTTAAGAAAGTGTGCAATGTAACATATTTGCTAGAATTACATGGATTATATATTTCTTAAAGGGAAAAATTTGAGAGTAGCATGGATTACCACCAGCATTATTACTACAGTAGTTGCTCAGATTTGGTTAAGGAAGCCCAATCAATGTATAGTGAAAGGATTATTAGGTTTCTGCTAAGATTCAGATATTGTTTCAAAAATCTCAGCTCCAATAATTCCACAACATCTAAAAACAAGTGTTTGTGATCATGTGTAAGCATGAAATTGTTCCAAGTAAGTGAGGATATTTTAGTTATGTGAAAGACAGTATCAATGGAAGGTTATTTGTTTTATACCAGTGGCTGGGATGGTGGAATTGGGGTTATTTCTACAGTTATTCTTAGATGATTACTAAACTGTTAAGAAATGCCCCATATCATTTGTATCTAGGAAAGAAAAAAATCAGTATCATACTGCTGTCATCTGTCAGAAATGTTCATTTTATTTTGAATTAAATGTGGCTTTTGAAGTTACCTTGAATTCCTGGTGACCACATGTTTTTGTCTGGAAAACCTGGGGAAAGTTATCTGTCCCATCTACTCTGCTTTTTTTTTTTTTTTTTTTTCTTGGTTGGAGCTGCTGTTTAGATGATGCTTTTACTATGTAGGAGAGAGTTTTTATTAAGGATATATTTAAAGATTGGCTTTTCCATATTGTCTTTCATTCTTTGACCTTGGCAAAGTGTACAGTAGATTTTCATGATCATTGCATATTTCTTGTCATTGAAATGTATCTTTTATGTTTTTAAATGCATTCATTTTACACTTGTGACATTATCATTGACTTTAAGAGGTAGAAATAAAAAATAAAAATAAAAAAAGAAAATGAATGAGATCCACACACCTGCGTGTGTGAGACTATCACGGCAACGGCGACACCCACAGGCATTGCCGCCTTCACGGAGAGGGCCTGGAAAACTCAAGACTGTCATGGAGGTTCAGTTCCACACTCCACCCTTCCAGGGTGGTTTCTTCCTGAAATCGTATGTGAGCCCAGAGAGAAACTTCCAGTTTCCGTAGAATTCTGGAGAACTCAGAGAGCCAGCCCCAGAAGCCCCCCTTTCCTGGCCGATCTGGCCCCACCTTCGCCTACCACACAGGGCCCTGTGTCTGTGGTTTCTGGCTTCGGAGGGCGGCTTACCCAGGGCCCTTGTGTGCTCATGCATATTCATGAAGGGGTGAAGCTGATGGGTCTTTATAAGGGCCACTGGCGGGGTCGGACTCCTGACTGGACCTGCGTGCAGCACAGAGGCCAACTGAGGCGCACAGGAGCCGCCGGCCTCTCTCTGCCCGTGTCTGTCCGTGAAATTCCGGTGAGGTGCCCTCGCGATGGCTCTCCCGACACCTTCTGACAGCCCCTTCCCCGCGGAAGCCCGAGGACGAGGACGGTGAAGGAGACTGGTTTGTAACCTGAACAAAAAAGATTCCCTGCTAGCGTGCTTTGAGCGGAACCCGTACCCAAACTGTCCAGAGAGACCTGCCTTTTGGAGTCCAGGATTCAGATTTCATGTCAGAATCGAAGGTCGAGGCATCCAGGCCAGGGTGGCAGGGAACCCGCGCACGCAGGATGCCTGTGCAACGCGGCCCACCACGGGTGCCACCCTCCCTCCTTGGTCGCCTTCACCCACTCCAGGGCGTGGGGAACAGGGGGCTTTCGTGAGCCAGACAGCAAGGGTGGCCCCTCTGCTGCAGCCCAGCCAGGCTTTGCAGGCGGAAAGAATCTCCCGATCTGCCGTGGCACTCGGGGATTTTGAGTTTGCTGCCCTGGCTCCTTCGGAAGTGGCGCTGTCCCACCCTCAGACACCTGGGTGACCTCCGCACCCGAACAGATGGCAGGGGGACCAGGACCCGCAGCACGGCGGCCTGCTGTGTGCGTGCTCAGTGGGACAACTTGAGCCGCTCAGGCTGAGTCACAGGGGCAAGGTGTGCTTGTGCCGCACACGTCCCACATGAGTCCGTAATGGGTCTGGGGCCAGGGTCCCCAGGTCGCCAGGGCGCATGGGAACGCGAAGCCGAGGCACATCTACCTCCGCAGCTCGCGCCCATGGAGGCCTCTGCGTGTCAGAAGCAGATGTAAGCCATCCAGGCACCCTCCCAACCGCTCCAGGAGCTGGAGCGTTCATCTGCACTCGCATCCACCCTATTATATGAGCTCCTGTCGACCCCAGAATTTCAGCAAAAGGCACAACCTTTCCAAGCAACGGAGCCACTGGGGGAGTTGAAGGACATGGAAGATCCCGCTTTTCTGGAACCACTCCTCAGCCAGGAAGAACACGGGGCTCTGCTGGAGGAGCTTTAGGACGCGGGGTTGGGACCGGGTGGGGGCAGGGGGTGGCCCCTCTTTCACGCTGAACCTCAGGCTCGGTATGGAGACCTGTGTCTTCCCTTCCAGCTGACCTGTCTAGGATCTCTGAGTCCAGGTCCGGCGAGAGACTCCACAGAAAGGAGGGCTGTCATTCTTTTCCTGAGCATCCCAAGGATTTCAGAGCCAGCCCAGGTACTCAGAGATGGACCGCCTACTGCGCATGCGCGGGTCCATGGGCAGCCGGCTAGGGTTTGGGACCAGCCCGGGCAGGGCTCTCATCCCTTCCCCGCCTCCCCACGCGGTACACATCCCCCCCACGACCCCCGCGTTCTTCAGTGGTATAGGCGGAGACCTCCACCCCGGGAAACACTGGCCCGGGCAGCGGCCAGGCCTGCTCTCCTTTCCGCAGCTCAACTCCACTACCTCCCCGCTCCACCCTCCCTCGCCCACCCATGCCCCGCCACATCACGTGGAGCTCCCGGCAACTAAATGTAGACCCCGAGATCTTGCGCAAACCGTGGTTCTGCCCTTTCTAGGCGGGAGGGAAGCCAGGCAGAGATGGGGAAAGGAACGGAGACAAAGTGAGAGGGAGGGACAGAGGGAGGAAAGGACGGATGAAAGGAGGGACCTTGGAAGGGATGGAGGGAGGGACAGAGGGAAAGAAAAAGAGAGGAAGGGAGGGAGGGAAGGAGGGAGAAAGGGAGGTATGGATGGAGGTAGAGAGGGAAGGAGAGAAGAACAGAGGGAAGCAGGGAGAGAGGGAGACAGGGAGAGAAGAAAGAACAGAGGGAAGGATGGACAGAGGGAGAAAAGGATCAAGAAACAGAGAAAGGAAGGCAAAGAGAAAAGCAGTCTTCTGCTACCAGGACCAGCAGGACCTCGAACTCCGGGAAAATGTTGGGTGCCCAGTGCAGGCTGAGTGCTCGGCCCACGGCCGCATTGGCTGGCGGTGGGCTCACCGGCCCTCGGGATCGCCTGGGTTACTTCACCCGGGAGCGATTCAGACGAATTCCGCCTCCCAAGGAATGGGCGAATTCCCCAAAGAGCAGAGCCGAGACTCGAATTGTTGTCCGTTTTTCATCCACATGGTTCACAGATGACATGTGAGCCTCCCCACGCTAAGCCTACAACAGAGCGCAAGGCAGATACTCCCATCCACACAGGAGTCACACTCAAGCCGAGTGAACCGTGGTTCCGGATTCCACGTTCCTTTGCCTTCTGCAAGGGGGGGGGGGCTGTTGCTCACGTGTCTCTGGCCCCCGAAAGCGTGACCATGTTGACTGTTTGTTTCCCGAGCTCTGTGGGGACACAGAAACCTCCAGCGAAGCATGGAAAAGCAGCATCGTGTCTTCACTCTCCTTTCGTTTCCAAACAGGCCATTTTGGAGACTCCTCATGTTGCAGGAAACAGGAATCCGTCATCAGGCCTTGATGCCTCAGTCCCCTGCCCAGGCTCAAGGCACATCAGGCGGCCTCCCTTTCACTGACATTCCAGGCCTTCCCCCAGCTCGTGAGCTCCCGAGCTTCCAACACTTCGGGCCGGCTCAGGACAGGGTGTGCTTGGAGGCGTCAGGGCCCGGGGCCCACAGTCCTGGGATCACCTCTGGTCCTCCGCCTTGCCGCGGAAAAATTGATTTGGATCCCTCGCCGCCCCTCTTGCAAGGCCCCCTCTTGCCCCACACACCCAGAGTCCGCCAGGGCTGCCCAGGGGCGAACAGCCGGCCCAGCCCCGTGGGCCCTTTTTCTCATAACGCCCACACCATCGTCGCTTGTTCCAAAGAGGACCCGCCCATGGCCAACAGGACAGGAAGGCTCTGCTTTGCCCCGCGCTGGCACTAGAGCCCCGGCAGCCTGATCCTGGGAAAGAGGGGCTGACAGACACCCAGACACACCACACCACCACCATGAGCAAACCCACACCGACACACACACAGTTACACACGGGTGCACGCGCACAGGCACACACGCACACACACGGACACACACAACACACAGACACACACACAGACACACACAGACACACAAAGACTCACACACGGATACATGGACACACGCACACGAACACACACGGACACACACACAAGGACATACAGACAAAGACACAGACACAGCTTGAAAGAAAGCTAGGGAGACCGGGATGGAGAGATAGAAATGGGGGGAGAGAGAGAAAGTTGGAGGGGGAGAGAGACAGAAGGTGACAGAAGAGTGAGAGGTGGAGGGGGAAGTAGAGAAAGGGAGAGGGTGAGGGAGTTGCAGAGCGAGAAAGACGGAGCCTTGGAGAGGGAGGCTCTGCTCAGGTAGACAGGGCACTTTGAGCAGGCCGGGGTGAGGTGGAGGGTGCTTGGGCCAGGCTAAGACAGGGGGTCAGGGCCGCCCACGCGGGAAAACCAGCGGAGCCCTGAGACGTGTTTTTTTTTTTTCTTGGATTGGTTGATTGCTTTGGGGGTGCGTTTCATAGGGTCCTTCCTTTGTTTGCTTCTTTCTGTCTCCTTGGTGCTGTGGGCCCCGAGACTTGTAGAGTGCACCCGTCCGTCTGGTGGAAGCTGTGGCACAGAGCGTGTCCACGGGGCCAGGTCTGTGTATCTCTCGTGTCCTCGGGACTACACTTTACACGAAGTCGGTGGCAATGGGAAACAAGGTGCACAGGGATGGATTTCTTCGTGGCTGGCAAAGACAATATACTTCCCCCGGGGAAAGCATTCCATGGTTTCTGGAGCGGAGGTCTTGGCTGGCGACTGTGGGACCTGCTGCCCCAACTTGGATGGTTGCAGAGGCACTTGATGAATGAATTGAATTGCCTGGGGTCCGGGGAGTGGGAAGACACCCTGGAGGGCAGGAAACCCGAGCCTGCACCTTCCGGGTCTAGTACGCGCCGCAGCGCCCCGGCTGGAGCCGGGCTCCTCGTGGGGCTGCAGCCAGTCGAAAGAGGTGGGATGCTGCCGCCTGGCGGTATTGCAGCTGTGGACCCCCACGAGGAGGTTTCATCTCGACATAAATCTTTTTATTTCCTCAGCTGATCTGTATCCTTAATTTTAGGTTAGTGGTAACTCCACAAATTTAGAGGCACAAAATATGGTTGCCCATACCTTATAATCGCATTACCACCCCCCATTACCACCACCTTTCCCCCTCCTCCCCACCCTCAACCCATAGACTAGGTCTTGCCATGTTGCCCAGGCTGACCTCAAACTCCTGGGCTTAAGTGATTTGCCAGCCTTGGCCTCTCAAAGTGCTGGGATCAGCGGTGTGAGTCACCATGCCCAGCCAACCACCACCAAGTTTTGATTCAGCAGCACTGGGTGATGGAGCTAAGGACCCACAAATTTAGAAAAGTTTTTAAATATCATAACGTTTCTGTGAGGAAATAGTATTTGATATTACATTTTTAGACTCTTTTATAATGTTCTGTTTTTTTCCACCGAGCACAGTACTAAGTAGTAATTGGAAAATCACAGAATAAGTCATATTACTTTTTCTAATACAGAGTCCTCGGCTGTTCTCTAAGCTAATCCTGATCACCTACATTGAGAAAAAAAAAAAACCCCAGAGTGTGAGGAGACAGGAGATAGTAGCCAAACATCCAAATAGGTGGGAGTGAATAAGGCAGATGACACAGACGAGATGTCCAAAGATCAAGGAGAAAGCCAGATCTTAAAGTGTGGTTTGCGAAGCTATGCTCCAATGGAAACCTTTTCTGCAAAGCCCTGATTTCTTTCTCTTGCTTTCATTAGAGACTGACATCCTCTGCCCCATGCTCTTCAATTTTCTAGGACTGGACTTCCCCTTCAAAGATCATTCTTCTAGGTTACAAAGAAAATCAAAGCCCTTTGCATGGCTTACAAGGGACTGGAGGACCTGGCTGCTTGCTCTTTTATTCCTTTTGAGGACATGGGGCCATCTGTGATTTTTAAGGAACTCTATGTTAAACATTTTCTAATTTCCATTTTGAGTCTTGTCTAAAATGTGTGAGAGTAGTGGAGATATTGGGATTTGGTTTAGAAATCCCAGAAACACCACATCCAGATGTCGTATGTTTTCTGCTTTATAATTTCATATCCTGTGAAGGTTTCAAATGTGATTCTACAGAAATTCATACTCAATAATTTTATCAGAACACTAAGCTTCTGCCCCATGTAGTAAAACCTAATGTTATTTTACTTCAAAATTCTAAGTTTTTGGTATGTATTGAGGCTAATATTGTAAACACTCTGTGCCATAATTCCTAAACTGTAATATGGTTTAATGTATCTACTTTCTACATTTAAAACATGTACTTTGCCATTGAGGAACTCAGAATATTGCTGAGCATGTATTAAATACCCATTTGTTTCCTGTTTTTTAAATAGTTATCATTTTATAATTTTCTCTTGTTTAGTTTGAAGCTTACTAGGATTTTTTCATTGATATGTATGTGTGTATATATATACACACACAAAAGTATATACATAACAACATATGTAATTGATATATATGTATATGCTTTATATATGTGTACATACACACTTATGTGAATATATGCATGTGTACATAACATTAATTTTTTGACCAATAAAAATTGCATAATTATGTATTGTGTACATTATAAAAATTTGATAATTATATATATTGTAAAATGTTTAATACAATTAAGTTGATGAACATTTATGTCACCTCACATGGTTATGTTTTTTGTAGTGAGAGCATTTGAGGTGTCCTACTGTTGCAGCAAATTTTAAGCATAAAAAATACTGTTATTAACTACATCTTAAAGCTATACATTAGACCCCCAAAACTTATTTATCTTATAACTGGAAGTTTGAACTCTTTGAACACCTTATCATTTTTTCTACCTCCAGCCCTGGTCATTACCATTGTACTCTCTGCTTCTATGAGTTCAGGCTTTTTAAATTGTCCATGTAAGTGAGAACATACAGTGTTTGTCTTTCTGTGCCTGGCTTATTTTGCGTAGCATAATGTACCCAGGTCCATTCATGTTGTTGAAATAGCAGAATTTCATTCTTTTTTATGGGTGAATAATATTCGGTTGTCTATTTATACCACATTTTCCTTATCCATTCAACATCTACAGATAAGTCGTTTTTTTAAAAAAAAAAAATACCTTTGACAGTTGTGAATAACGCTGTATTGAATACAGGGGTGAAGATTATTTTTGAGATGCTGATTTTAATTTGTTTATAGACAGAAGTGGAATTTCAGGATTGTACAATAGTTCTATTTTTTAAAATAACCTGCAAACTAATTTTCATAATGACTCTTCCAGTTTGCAACTCATTCAGACTGTACAGAAATATTTTGTCACATCCTTGTTAACACTTGTCATATTTCTTTTTTTTATATTAGCCATTCCAACTGCTGTAAAGTTGTATCTTTTGATTTGCAATTTTCTCATGAATGGTAATGTTTAGCATCTTTCTACACACCTGTTGGCCATTTGAATATGCTTGTAAAAAATATTTAGTCTTGGTTGGTGGAGCCAAGATGGACAAATAGGAACAGCTCCAGTCTACAGCTCCCAGCTTGAATGACGCAGAAAATGGGTGATTTCTGCATTTCCAACTAAGGTACCAGGCTCATCTCACAGGGGAGTGCTGGTCAGTGGGTGCAGGATAGTGGGTACAGTGCACCACGCATGAGCCAAAGAAGGGCGAAGCATCACCTCACCTGGGAAGCACAAGGGGTCAGGGAATTCCCTTTCCTCCTCAAAGAAAGGGGTGACAGATGGCAACTGGAAAATCGGGTCAATCCCACCTTAATACTGTGCTTTTACAACCAGCTTCACAAACAGCACACCAGGAGATTATATCCTGCACATGGCTTGGAGGGTCCTATGCCCACGGAGCCTCAATCATTGCTAGCACAGAAGTCTGAGATCGAACTGCAAGGTGGCAGTGAGGCTGAGGGAGGGGTGCCCACTATTGCTCAGGCTTGAGTAGGTAAACAAAGTGGCCGGGAAGCTCAAACTAGGTGGAGCCCACCACAGCTCAAGAAGGCCTGCCTGCCTCTGTAGGCTCCACCTCTGGGGGCAGGGCACAGACAAATAAAAGACAGCAAAAACTTCTGCAGACATAATTGTCCTTGTCCCACAGCTTTGAAGAGAGTAGTGGTTCTCCCAGCACACAGGTTGAGATCTGAGAATGGGCAGACTGCCTCCTCAAGTGGGTCCCTGACCCCCGAGTAGCCTAACTGGGATGCACCCCCCAGTTGGGGTGGACTGACACCTCACACGGCCAGGTACTCCTCTGAGACAAAACTTCCAGAGGAACCATCAGACAGCAGCATTTGCAGTTCACCAATATCCGCTGTTCTGCAGCCTCCACTGCTGATAACCAGGAAAACAGGGTCTGGAGTGGACCTCCAGTAAACTCCAGCAGACCTGCAGCTAAGGGTCCTCTCTGTTAGAAGGAAAAATAACAAACAGAAAGGACATACACACCAAAAACCCATCTGTACATCACCATCATCAAAGACCAAAGATAGATAAAACCACAAAGATGGGGAAAAAAGAGCAGAAAAACTGGAAACTCTAAAAATCATAGCACCTCTCCTCCTCCAAAGGAACGCAGCTCCTCACCAGCAATGGAACAAAGCTGGATGGAGAATGACTTTCATGAGTTGAGAAATGAAGACTTCAGAAGATCAAACTACTCCGAGCTAAAGGAGGAAGTTCAAACCAATGGCAAAGAAGTTAAAAACTTTGAAAAAAAAAATACACGAATGGATAACTAGAATAACCAATGCAGAGAAGTTCTTAAAGGATCTGATGGAGCTGAAAACCATGACAAAAGAACTACGTGACAAATGCACAAGCCTCAGTAACTGATGCGATCAACTGGAAGAAAGGGCATCAGCGATGGAAGATGAAATGAATGAAATGAAGCATGAAGAGAAGTTTAGAGAAAAAATAATAAGAAGAAATGAACAAAGCCTCCAAGAAATATGGGACTATGTGAAAAGACCAAATCTATGTCTCATTGGTGTACGTGAAAGTGACGGGGAGAATGGAACCAAGCTGGAAAACAATCAGCAGGATATTATCCAGGAGAACTTCTCCAACCTGGCAAGGCAGGCCAACATTCAAATTCAGAAAATACAGAGAATGTCACAAAGACACTCCTCGAGAAGAGCAATGGCAAGACACATCATTGGCAGCTTCACCAAAGTTGAAATGAAGGAAAAGATGTTAAGGGCAGCCAGAGAGAAAGGTCGGGTTACCCACAAAGGGAAGCCCTTCAGACTAACAGCTGATCTCTCGGCAGAAACTCTACAAGCCAGAAGAGAGTGGGGACCAATATTCAACATTCTTAAAGAAAAGAATTTTCAACCCAGAATTTCATATCCAGCCAAACTAAGCTTCATAAGTGAAGGAGAAATAAAATCCTTTACAGATAAGCAAATACTGAGAGATTTTGTCACCACCAGACCTGCCCTAAAAGAGCTCCTGAAGGAAGCACTAAACGTGGAAAGGAACAACCGGTACCAGCCACTGCAAAAAACAAGCCAAACTGTACAAACCATTGAGGCTAGGAAGAAACTGCATCAACTAACAAGCAAAATAACCAGCTAACATCATAATGACAGGATCAAATTCACACTTAGCAATACTAACCTTAAATGTAAATGGGCTAAATGCTCGAATTAAAAGGCACAGACTGGCAAATTGGATAAAGAGTCAAGACCCATCAGGGTGCTGTATTCAGGAAACCCATCTCATGTGCAGAGACACACATAGGCTCAAAATAAAGGGATGGAGGAAGATCTACCAAGCAAATGGAAAACAAAAAATGGCAGGGGTTGCAACCCTAGTCTCAGATAAAACAGACTTTAAAACAACAAAGCTCAAGAGAGAAAAAGAAGGTCATTACATGATGGTAAAGGGATCAATTCAACAAGAAGAACTAACTATTGTAAATATATATGCATCCAATACAGGAGCACCCAGATTCATAAAGCAAGTCCTTAGTGACCTACAAAGAGACTTAGATTCCCACACAATAATAATCAGAGACTTTAACACCCCACTGTCAACATTAGAGAGATCAACAAGGAAGGAAGTTAAAAAGGATATCCAGGAATGGAACTCAGCTCTGCACCAAGCGGACCTAATGGGCATCCACAGAACTCTCCATCCCAAATCGACAGAATATACATTCTTTTTAGCACCACACCACACATATTCCAAAATTGACCACATAGTTGGAAGTAAAGCACTCCTCAGCAAATGTAAAAGAACGGAAATCATAACAAACTGTCTCTCAGACCACAGTGCAATCAAACTAGAACTCAGGATTAAGAAACTCACTCAAAACCGCTCAACTACATGGAAACTGAACAACCTGCTCCTGAATGACTACTGGGTACATAACGAAATGAAGGTAGAAATAAAGATGTTCTTTGAAACCAACGAGAACAAAGACACAACATACCAGAATTTCTGGGACACTTTCAAAGCAGTGTGTAGAGGGAAATTTATAGCACTAAATGCCCACAAGAGAAAGCTGGAAATATCTAAAATTGACACCCTAACATCATAATTAAAAGAACTACAGAAGCAAGAGCAAACACATTCAACAGTTAGTAGAAGGTGAGAAATAACTAAGATCAGAGCAGAACTGAAGGAAATAGAACCACAAAAAACCCTTCAAAAAATCAATGAATCCAGGAGCTGGTTTTTTGAAAAGATCAACAAAATTGATAGACTGCTAGCAAGACTAATAAAGAAGAAAAGAGAAGAATCAAATAGATGCAATAAAAAATGACAAAGGGGATATCACCACTGATCCCACAGAAATACAAACTACCATCAGAGAATACTATAAACACCTCTACGTAAATAAACTAGAAAATCTAGATGAAATGGATAAATTCCTCGAAACCTGCACCCTCCCAAGACTAAACCAGGAAGAAGTTGAATCTCTCTATAAACCAATAACAGGCTCTGAAGTTGATGCAATAATTAATAGCTTACCAACAAAAAAAGTCCAGGACCAGATGGATTCACACCCGAATTCTACCAAAGGTACAAGGCGGAGCTGGTACCATTCCTTCTGAAATTATTCCAATCAATAGAAAAAGAAGGAATCCTCACTAACTCATTTTATGAAACCAGCATCATCCTGATACCAAAGCCTGGCAGAGACAAAACAAAACAAAAAAAAAAGAGTATTTTAGACCAATATCCTTGATGAACATTGACACAAAAATCCTCAATAAAATACTGGCAAACCAAATCCAGCAACACATAAACAAGCTTATCCACCATGATCAAGTGGGCTTTATCCCTGGGGATACAAGGCTGGTTCAACATAAGAAAATGAATGAATATAATCTAGCATATAAAAAGAATCAAAGCCAAAAACCACAAGATTATCTCAATAGATGCAGAAAAGACCTTTGACAAAATTCAGCAACACTTCATGCTAAAACCTCTCAATAAATTAGATATTGATGGGACGTATCTCAAAATAATAAGAGCTATCTATGACAAACCCACAGCCAATATCATACTGAATGGACAAAAACTGGAAGCATTCCCTTTGAAAACTGGCACAAGACAGGGATGCCCTCTCTCACCACTCCTATTCAACATAGTGTTGGAAGTCCTGGCCAGGGAAATCAGGCAGGAGAAGGGAATAAAAGGCATTCAGTTAGGAAAAGAGGAAGTCAAATTGTCCCTGTTTGCAGATGACATGATTGTATATCTAGAAAACCCTGTTGTTTCAGCCAAAAATCTCCTTAAGCTGATAAGCAACTTCAGCAAAGTCTCAGGATACAAAATCGATGTGCAGAAATCACAAGCATTCTTATACACCAATAACAGATAAACAGAGAGCCAAATCATGAGTGAACTCCCATTCACAATTGCTTCAAAGAGATTAAAATACCTAGGAATCCAACTTACAAGGGATGTGAAGGACCTCTTCAAGGAGAACTACAAACCACTGCTCAATGAAATAAAAGAGGATACAAACAAATGGAAGAACATTCCATGCTCGTGGGTAGGAAGAATCAATGTTGTGAAAATTACCATATTGCCCAAGGTAATTTATGGATTCAATGCCAACCCCATCAAGCTACCAATGAGTTTCTTCACAGAATTGGAAAAAACTACTTTAAAGTTCATATGGAACCAAAAAAGAGCCTGCATTGTCAAGTCAATACTAAGCCAAAAGAACAAAGCTAGAGGCATCACGCTACCTGACTTCCAACTATACTACAAGGCTACAGTAACCGAAACAGCATGGTACTGATACCAAAACAGAGATATAGACCAATGGAGCAGAACAGAGCCCTCAGAAATAATGCCACATATATACAACTATATGATCTTTGACAAACCTGAGAAAAACAAGCAAAGGGGAAAGGATTCCCTATTTCATAAATGGTGCTGGGAAAACTGGCTAGCCATATGTAGAAAGCTGAAACTGGATCCCTTCCTTACACCTTATACAAAAATTAATTCAAGATGGATTAAAGCTTACATGTTAGTCCTAAAACCATAAAAACACTAAAAGAAAACCTAGGCAATACCATTCAAGACATAGGCATGGGCAAGGACTTCATGTCTAAAACACCAAAAGCAATGGCAACAAAGTTCAAAATTGACAAATGGGATCTAATTAAACTAAAGAGCTTCTGCACAGTGAAGGAAACCACCATCAGAGTGAACAGGCAACATACAGAAAGGGAGAAAATTTTTGCAATCTACTCATCGGACAAAGGACTAATATCCAGAATCTACAATGAACTCAAACAAATTTACAAGAAAAAAACAAACAACCCCATCAAAAAGTGGGCAAATGACATGAACAGACACTTCTCAAAAGAAATTTATGCAGCCAAAAAACACATGAAAAAATGCTTACCATCACTGGCCATCAGAGAAATGTAAATCAAAACCACAATGAGATACCATCTCACACCAGTTAGAATGGTGATCATTAAAAAGTCAGGAAACAAGAGGTGCTGGAGAGGATGTGGAGAAATAGGAACACTTTTACGCTGTTGGTGGGACTGTAAACCAGTTCAACCATTGTGGAAGTCAGTGTGGTGATCCCTCAGGGATCTAGAACTAGAAATACCATTTGACCCAGCCATCCCATTACTGGCTATATACCCAAAGGATTATAAATCATGCTTCTATAAAGACACATGCACACATATGTTTATTGTGGCACTATCACAATAGCAAAGACTTGGAACCAACACAAATGTCCAACAATGATAGACTGGATTAAGAAAATGTGGTACATATACATCATGGAATACTATGCAGCCATAAAAAATGATGAGTTCATGTCCTTTGTAGGGACATCGATGAAGCTGGAAACCATCATTCTCAGCAAACTATCGCAAGGACTAAAAACCAAACACCACCTGTTCTCACTCATAGGTGGGAATTGAAGAGTGAGAACACGTGGACACAGGAAGGGGAACATCACACACCGGGGCCTGTTGTGGGGTGTGGGAGGGGGGAAGGATAACATTAGGAGATATACCTAATGCTAAATGACGAGTTAATGGGTGGAGCAAAGCAACATGGCACATGTATACATATGTAACAAACCTGCACGTTGTGCACATGTACCCTAAAAGTTAAAGTATAATAATATTAAAAAATAATGTTTAATCTTTTGCCCATTTTTTAGTTGGGTTTTATAATTATTATTGTTTAGCTTCTGATTTGTATGAGTTTCTGCTATATTTTGAATATTAACCTCTTATCATATATAGTTTGCAAATATTTTATCCCATCTTAAATGTTTTCTTATTTTTTGCTGTGCACAATAGTTTAATACACTACAACTTTATGTCTGGTTTTATTGCTATACTTTTGATATCGTATTTTTAAAAAATTGCCAAGGCCACTATCATGGAGGCTTTTCATATGCTTTTTAAAAGATTTTCTTTTAAGGATTTATGTATTAAGTATTTTAAGTCAATTTTTATGTCTGGCATAAGAAATATGATCAAGTGTTATTATTGTGCTTGCGAGAATCCAGTTTTCCCAGCACTAAGTATTGAAAAGGCTACACTTTTTGTATTGAGTATTCATAGCGCCCTTGTCAAAGATTAACTTTAGATGCATAGATTTACTTCTGGGCTCTGTATTCCGTTCCATTGGTTTTTGTGTTTGTTCCTATAAACATTCCATTCTATTATGTTTACTGTAGTCTTGAAATGTAGTTTTAAATAATAAAGTATAATGTCCCCAGATTTCTTTATATTTCTCGTGATTGCTTTGGCCTTTCAATATTTCTTATAGTTTTATATACATTGCAGACTTTATTTTCTATTGCTGTAAAAAGTGGCAAATTAGCCGGGCGTAGTGGCGGGCGCCTGTAGTCCCAGCTACTTGGGAGGCTGAGGCAGGAGAATGGCGTGAACCCGGGAGGCGGAGCTTGCAGTGAGCCGAGATCCCGCCACTGCACTCCAGCCTGGGCGACAGAGCAAGACTCCGTCTCAAAAAAAAAAAAAAAAAAAAAGTGGCACAGGAATTTTTATAGGAAGTTGAATTAATCTACAGATTACTTTGGATAACATCGTGCTTAAACAATATTCTTCTAATCCATAAACATGTAATATAGTTACATTTATTTGTATCTTCTTTAATTTTTTTCATCAATATATTTTATTTTTTATTGTAAAGATCTTTCACCTCATTTGTTAAATTTATTGCTAAGAAATCTATTATTTTGTTGCTATTGTAAATGAGATTTTTTTTCTTTTTTACTGGTTTGTTGCTAGCATATAGAAACAAAACTGATATTTGTATGTTAATTGTATATGCTGCTTCTTTACTGAGTGCATTTATTAGATGCACTGTTTATATATAGATGCATTAAATGCAGTATTTAAATGTACTATTTATGTTTTTTATATATAACATTATGTCATCTACAAACAGTGACGTTATTTCTTCTTTTCAATTTGGATCTTTTAGCTTTTCTTGCTTAATTATTTGACGTAGGACTTAATTATTCTATGTAGCACTTCCTATTCTATGTTAAAATAGAACCGTTAGAACAGGCATAATATAGACTTGCATTGGTGTTTGTGCATTTGAAGGAGCAAACACCTCTTTTCATTTGTCGTTGTTGTTGTTGTTGTTTTGTTTTTGAGACGGAGACTCGCTCTGTCACCCAGGCTGGAGTGCTGTGGCACGATCTTGGCTCACTGCAACCTCCGCCTCCTGGGTTCAAGCAATTCTCTGCCTCAGCATCCTGAGTAGCTGGGATTACAAGTGCCAACCACCATGCCCGGCTAATTTTTGTATTTTTAGTAGAGACAGTGTTTCACCATCTTGGCCAGGCTGGTCTTGAACTCCTGACCTCGTGATCCACCCACCTCGTCCTCCCAAAGTGCTGGGATTACAGGTGTGAGCCACCGTGCCCAGCCAGCTCTTTTCATTTTTATAAACTGGTTTTAGTAGGTAAAGATCTTCATCTGTTAGGTCTCAAGGCTGATGAGATCTTTACTGGGTTTGCAGTAAAAAGGCTTGTAGCTGCATCACAAGGTGGCTGCCGAATCTGAAGTGGGTTTTACCTTTAGTGGGCTTGTTACCAGGAGCACATGTGGTTGTGAGTTCTGTTAGGTTTTTGGGCAGGCTGGATTGTCTTCAGGGCTTTGTTTTGTGAAGCAGGCACTAGGGCAGGTTCTGCTATATGCTGGGCCTAATAGCAGATGTGTGGGTGAGTGTGGCTCCCACTGTGTACCTAGCAGGTGTTCCCCAGGTTATCTACAAACAGTGACTTTTGAGCTGTTTTGTGTGAGTCACGAGTATGATGTCCCCAGCTTTTTTCTTATTCCTCATGATTGGCTTGGCCATTCAGCCTACATTGTAGGCTTGCATTTTCCATTACTATAAAAAGTGGGACAGGGATTTTGATAGGGATTTGAGTTAACTTACGGATTGTTTTGGATAATATGACACCTTATTAACCAAAGGGCCTGCTTCTCAAAATGACTCTTTTCGATCTTGGGTTTTAGCGAGGTTTCATAATGCCCTGTATCGCAAATTCACTATATTGCCCAGGCTGTTCTTGAACGCCTGGCCTGGAGCAGTCCTCCTGACTCAGGTTCCTGAATGGAGGAGATTACTGTCATGAGCCATTGTGCCTGGATCTCTCATTAAGTTACTTTGGTTGATGGATGGCTGACTAGTTTTTATTACTGCAGGGGAATACAAAAGTAGGGACCCCCTATTCCACCATCTTGATAATATCACTGTCTCCATACATTTCTTCCTTATTTTGTTCTCTTGTATGTTTGTGTGTTATTTTAGGTTCAAATATTAAGACCAATAGGCTAGGATTTATACATTGTGTAAAAGGTAAATTAGATAGCTAGTAGGTACCTTTATATATTATAATGTTCACCTATAAGATTAAGTTTAGTGCACACAAAAAGGGCTCATTAAAATTTTCATCCACTTTCTTCAACCTCTATCCAAACTATGATATAATTTATGTCACAATTTTTGTTTTATCAATTACTCTTAACCATATTTCATAAAATTTATATTTTTTCTTTATTTAGAAATGTAAGGCTATTATTTGCTTTTAAAGGCTGTAATACAGCTTTTTTATTTTGTGAAATAATAGCACCAATATTATAAATATTAATAGCGTAAATACTTATTCATTAAAATCTTCCCATTAGAGAATTTTATTAATTATTGTAGTGCATTTCTGTAAAATTGTACTGCCATACACCACAGGGCAATGATTCAAAATGCCTGGTCTTCACAGGTGCACAGTCACTGTTGAACATTGTGGTTATTTAGAAAAATTCTTTTCTAGTGTTATATCAATGTTCCAAACAAGATTTTATGGGTAAATAATTCTCCCATTCTAGTTTTGCAATTCCATGTTAACTGTATTTTTATTTTAGGGTAGGTTCCCTGACATTGGTTTATAGTATTTTTGGTTTTACCTAAGTATTATTTTGGATGACAGTGTGCAGCAACTTTTAATGTACAGTTTATGTCAATGTGCAGTTTAATTACAATATGAATCAGCCATATATTTATTCACAATTCAAGTTTAACAAACTTAATGAAAACTCAGCAAACTAATGTTACATGATAAAGCCCCAATCAGCTATCTTATACTTAAGCAAATACACCAAAAAATAGTTTGTAGCTTTATTGCTGCTTTTGTTCAAACTATGTTTTATATTCCCTATGACCAAGGAAATTTCTGACATTGTGCTACCAGGCTAAAGAAACAAACAAAAAGACAGTGATTATACTTTCAAGGAGCAGTTTGTTTAGAGCCCCAGATACTCCATCTGTAGACCACGATGCTCATATTTGCTTGTTTTAATAAGGCTGTAGCCCAAAACCTTACATTTTTGTGGAAATTAAAGCTTTTCAGTTCCATACTAAAGACAGGACAGCCTCATGATCTAAATCCAAGGGTGATGGTTTAGAGTGAGGACCATTTCTTCTTGACACGGAGATGGTTGTGTTCTTCCACAATAAATCTATGTGAGAGGCAGGTTGTGATAAGTTGGAAGTGTTGGCTGCCTTCATGGTCACAAATTTCTCTGTCAAGTTCACCTCAGCACTGCTGTACCCCTGTTCTGCTGTCAGGTTGGGAATGCTTGGTCAGTAGTGGTTCTCCACATGGTCCTCAACTGCTGGTGCTTCCCTGATCCACTGCCTGCCAGAAATGCAATTGTAGCAGAGGAGGCTGGTAAGGGGACAGAAGCCAGAGATGGTAACTGGCCACCGCCTCACTGGGGAAGAGAGCGGTGGGCTCTCAATCCTAGCTCACATGCAAAGTGCTATTTTCATCCCAGCACCCAGCGGTGTCCCCCATAATGTGCACTGCCTGGTCTGAGGTAAATGGAGAGCTCAGCTAAGGCCTAAAGTTGAAAAGGGGCTTTCCAGAGCCCCCAGTGTGCTGGACATCTCACCAGCCATGGAAAGGGTCTGTGTCCTTGTGGCCACAGACAGGCAATAATGGGAGCCTGCCCACATTTCAGGGCCTTCTGGAGTCTTCACTTGAGAGTTCAGCTCTGGCAACAGAGGACACTTCTGGTGTCCAGAGATTCTCAGTGCCTGGCGGATGTAAAACTGATTGATGGCATCTGCTGGCTTCTGGGAGCACTGCTTGGCCATCCTTATCTGTGAGCCCCAGCCAAGGCACTGCAGAAAGCTTGGTCTCTGGCTAGCATTCTGGACTGTGAGACAGCGTGGCTGCAGCTAGCACTGGATGGAGAGAGTACAGTGTGGTGAAGTGGGGACAGTGGGCATTCTGCCACATGGCCTAGGGTTTCTCCTGACTCTGGACTGCCCAGGTGCGGTGACCAGAAGGCAAACCGTTTCTAGGCCACAGCTCAAGGGGGGAAAACCCAGGCTGAGCCTGGTGAGGGTTCTGAGTTGAAGAGATGAAGCTGGGAGTCCAGGGAGACTAAAGAAGCTCAGATAAACTCTGCAGAGCAGAGTATTCAGGGAATGAATAGTACAAAGACACGAAACAAAAAAGCTCCAGAGTCTTCAGCTAAATACTGATCAGCACATGTATGTGTGTAAACTACAAGTCTGGGGGAAAAAATACCTGAAGGAAACAGAAAGAACAATGCTTGAACCTCCCACAGAACCAGGCATATTTGCTGTTCCCACCAGCAACAGTGGACAAATCATACTTCCTGGACCATTGGATGGAACACTCAGAAAAGAATTGCCTCAGTAGTGTGGAAGATTAGATCTAGGATGAGGCTGCTAAAGTCCTACTTAACAAGACCTCAAAGAAAACCCTCAAAGAACCAAAATCTTTCCAGATAATTTAACTGCATCCTAGAACATAGCTCAATAATATTTATAGGAACCCAACAATATCCAAGACACAATAAGATAAATTTCACGTTGTCTGCCATCCAGCTGAAAATTACCAGGCATGTGAAGAAAAAGGAAATGTCTCAATCATAAGAAGAAAACTTGATCAATAGATACAGAAATGTCAAATAAGATGGAATTAGTAGGCAACGATATTAAAACACTTATTGTAATGATAACATTCCACAAGAAGAAGGTAAAGGGAAGCTAGAACATGGAAGTAGAGACATGGAAGACCCAGCTTGAATTTCTAGAGACGAAAAATACAATGTCTGAGATGAAAAATATACTAAATGGCATTTAATGTAGAATAGATATTATACAAAAAAGGATTAGTCAACTGGAAGATGTAGCATCAGAAACTATCAAAAATGGAACATGGAGAAAATAATGGAAAAAACTGAGCAGAAAATCAGCATCAACACGACTAATATATGTGGAATTGGAGTTCCTGAAGAAGGTGGGAAGGAGTAGAAGAAAAAATATTTGAAAAAGCTGTGGCTGAAAAAATTTAAATTTGAGAAAAACTGTAAACCCAGAAATCTAAGAACCAACGAACCCCTAGCACAAGAGACATGAGGATGAGACACTGAAACACATCATAATCAAATTGCCTCAACCCAGTAACAAAGAGAAAATCTGAAAGGTTACCAAAGGGAAAAGGACATTATACAGAGAGGGACAAAGATGAAAATAGACTGAGCGTGGTGGCTCACACCTGTAATCCCAGCACTTTGGGAGGCTGAGTCAGGGTGATCACTCGAGACCAGGAGTTCAAGACCAGTCTGCGCAACATAGCAAAATCCCGTCTCTACTAAAAATACAAAAATTAACAGGGCATGGTGGCACGCATCTGTAACCCCAGATGCTCAGGAGGCTGAGGCAGGGAGAATCCCTTGAACCTGGGAGGCGGAGGTTGCAGTGAGCTGAGATGGCACCATTGCACTCCAGCCTGGGCGACAGAGTGAGACTCTGTCTCAAAAAAAAAAAAAAAAAAAGATGGCAGACATCTGGTTAGAAAGAATGCAAGGTCAGGTGTGGTGGCACATACCTGTAATCCCAGCACTTTGGGAGGTCAAGGCAGGATGATCACTTGAGCCCAGGAGTTCTAGACCAGCCTGGGCAACATGGCAAAACCTGGCCTCTACATAAAATGCAAAAATTAGCTGGGTGTGGTGTTGCATGCCTGTAGTCCCAGCTACTTGGGAGGCTGGGGCGGGAGGATTGCTTGAACCCAGGAGGTAAATGTTTCAGTGAGCTGAAATCATGCCACTGCACTGCAGCCTGGGTGACAGAGGGAGACCTTGTCTCAAAAAAACAAAGAAAAGAAATAATGCAAACCACAGGATAGTGGAGTGACTTCGATAAAATACATAAGGATAAAACGATTGCCAGTCTAGAATTCTACACCCAGCAAAAATATCTTTCAAAAATGATAGTGAAATAAAGACTTTCAGACATTAAAAAGCTTGAAGAATGCATTAACAGCACGTCCTCACCACAAGGAGTATTAAAGGAAATCCTTCAGGCAGAGGGAAAGTGAAACCAGATGGAAGTCCAGATCTACACAAAAGAATGTAGAGCACCAGAGATGGCAAATGTGTGAGCAAAAATACAACATTAAAAAGCATTTTTAAAAGATAATTGACTGTTTAAGGCAAAAATGATAACAAATTAATGTGTTTACATCACATACAGAAGCAAAATGCATGAAAACAATAACACGAAACCCAAAAGGAGGGAAATGAATGGGCACTGTTTTAAGGTTCTTATCCTCTATGTGAAGTGGTATAATGTTGATGGCAGCCAATGCTAAGTTAAATACATATACTGTATTAATCTGTTCTTGAACTGCTATAAAGAAATGTCTGACACTTCTCAAAAGAAGACATTTATGCAGCCAAAGAAACACATGAAAAAATACTCATCATCACTGGCCATCAGAGAAATGCAAATCAAAACCACAATATCATCACTGGCCATCAGAGAAATGCAAATCAAAACCACAATGAGATACCATCTCACACCAGTTAGAATGGTGATCATTAAAAAGTCAGGAAACAACAGGTGCTGGAGAGGATGTGGAGAAATAGGAACACTTTCACACTGTTGGTGGGACTGTAAACTAATTCAACCATTTTGGAAGTCAGTGTGGTGATTCGTCAGGGATCTAGAACTAGAAATACCATTTGACCCACCCATCCCATTGCTGGGTATATACCCAAAGGATTATAAATCATGTTGCTATAAAGACACATGCACACATATGTTTATTGCGGCACTATTCACAATAGCAAAGACTTGGAACCAACACAAATGTCCAACAATGATAGACTGGATTAAGAAAATGTGGCACATATACACCATGGAATACTATGCAGCCATAAAAAATCATGAGTTCACGTCCTTTGTAGGGACATCGGTGAAGCTGGAAACCATCATTCTCAGCAAACTATCACAAGAACAAAAAACCAAACACCACATGTTCTCACTCATAGGTGGGAATTGAACAATGAGAACACATGGACACAGGAAGGGAGATATCACACACCAGGGACTGTTGTGGGGTGGGGGGAGGGGGGAGGGATAGCATTAGGAGATATACGTAATGCTAAATGACGAGTTAATGGGTGCAGCACACCAACATGACACATGTATACATATGTAACAAACCTGCACATTGTGCCCATGTACCCTAAAACTTAAAGTATAATAATAATACTTTAAAAAAATAATAAATAAATTTAAAAAAAAAGAAATGTCTGAGACTGGGGCTGGGCATGGTGGCTGACGCCTGTAATCCCAGCACTTTGGGAGGCTGAGGCGTGTGGATTATGAGTTCAAGAGATTGAGACCATCCTTGCCAACATGGTGAAACCCTGTCTCTACTAAAAATACAAAAAAAATTAGGTGGGCTTGGTGGCATATGCCTGTAGTGTCAGCTAAGCTACTCGAGAGGCTGAGGCAGCAGAATCACTTGATCTAGGGAGGCAGAGGTTGCAGTGAGCCGAGATTGCACCACTGCACTGCAGCCTGGGCGACAGAGCGAGACTACATCTCAAAAAAAAAAAAAAAAGTCTGAGACTGGGTAATTTATGAAGAAAAGAGGTTTAATTGGCTCACGGTTCTGCAGGCTGTACAGGAAGCATGATTCTGTCATCTGCTCGGCTTCTGGGGAGGCCTCAGGGAGCTTACAATCATGATGGAAGGCAAAGGGGAAGCAGGCACATCTTATGTGACTGGAGCAGGAGGAAGAGAGAGAGGGGGAGGTGCCACACACTATTAAACAACCAGATCTTGTGAGAACTCACTCGCTATATAGTACCAAGTGGGGATGGCGTTAAACAATGAGAAACTGGCTCCATGGTCCAATCACCTCGCTCCAGGCCCCACGTTTGGCATTGGGGATTACATTTCCACATGAGATTTGGGTGGGGACACAGATCCAAACCATATGATATACCATAAACCATAGAGAAATGGTTAAAACTCAAAACCAAACGAAGCACAAATAGTTATATGTAAAAGGCCAACAAAAAAGATTAAATGAAATAAAAATACTCAACAAATTCAAAAGAAGTCAAAGAGGAAAAGGAGAACCAACTATAGATGGGACAAATAGAAAGCAAACAGGAAGATGACCAAGTAAAACCAATCTCTCCAGCATTCCACCAGTTGTGTGTGATTATTTAACAACTCTCTGCCTCTGATAAGAATACCTGTCACACAGGGTTGTCATCAGAGCTTGCCACATGTGATATGGAAAGCCTGCTGTTTACAGACCTGCAATCATTATACATTAGCTCATATTGTTGGTAGCAGAGACCCAGGTCTCTGTGTTGGTCGTGCTGAGAGCTCCCTTCTCATTGCTCTGTTTTCCTCCTCCTTTGATCCCTTTCTGTACTTCCACGCCCCACACCGTCTGATTGGAGAAGATACTCAGCCTCTCAGTCTGCAAATGTTCAAAGTCCATGAATCAAATAGCCAACAAATGTATTTCTGTACGTTTATCTGCTACCCAGGGATCCAGGAGAAATACTTTCCTTCCTGCAAGAAGTCCGTGGCTGCTGATGCCAGGAATCTGCTCTCTCTGTCCTCTTGTCTTTTCTGATCTGCATATTCTCAACTGCCCTGCACTTCTGGGAAGACTTTACACAGGGACAACTATGAGTTTTTGTAAGAAGATGAGGAGTCACCACTTTGGGAACCATCCATTAGACATTCCAATATTGCTGCAGACATGGACTCTAGCATGTTCTCTTTTTCTCTGACACCCATCCCTTCCCCCGTTGGCCACAGCAACTAGGGTTTGCTCTTCAGCTATGGCAGTGCCTACCTCTGGGGAACTGTGACCTTCTTTATACCCTATCCAATAACACAATATGTCCTTATACACAGTAGGTGTTCAATATACATCTGTTGACGGGATTTCATCACAGTTAAATCTGTGGAGAGTTCAGCAGATAAGTGAGTTGCTCAAGATGGTCAGAGGCTGTCTTCTTCCATTTGGGCTGCCGTAACAAAATACCTTAGCCTAGGGGGCTTATAAGCAGCAGAAGTTTATGTCTCATAGGTCCGGATGCTGGCAAGTGGAAGGTCAAAGTAGTGGCAGATTAGGTGTCTGTTGAGGACCTGTTCCTTATAGAGGGCACCTCCTAGCTGTGTCCTCACATGGTGGAAGGAGAGAACAAGCTCCCTTGGCTCCCTTTTACAAGGCCACTTATCCCATTCATGGGGTCTTTGCTTTCATGATGAAATCACTTCCTAAAGTCTTTGCCTCCTAATTCAAACCTAACCTATCAGGGGTTAGATTTCAACACACGGATTTTAGGGGCACACAAACATTGACTATAGCAGAAACGTAGCTGGACCTGGGTCTGGGGCCTTCTGGGTCCAGCTCCATTATGACACTCACACTGCATATGGCCTCCCACATGTTGTAATTCTGTTCTGTGACATTGTGCCCATGAGGCAGGGATGCAGTAGAGGCCTCTGCAGACATGGCTTGTTCTTAGGACATCCGCCTGGCTTTGTGTTGCAAGCCTGGAAGAATCCACCAGCTGCCCACTCTCATGCCTCACTCAGGTTCGTGGGTCCCTCCAGGCACATGTCAGATAACCCACTCAATTTTTTACTTGCCCCACCTCCCTGGGTTCCCTTCTGAACTCAGGGACCATGGAGGGAGCTGGGAGTCTCTGTTTTTAGTCCATGCTCTTGTCTCCTATTTGGAAAGAATGCCCAGCCAAGGGAATCTCTTTCCTACTGTTTTCTAAGAACATCAGGGGCTTCCTCCAAACTCTTCACCCACTCCCTCCATAATTCCTTCTCCCTCGAGGACACAGGGCACAAGCCCACCTCCTGTGTGAAGATCCTGCCACAGTGTGGCTCTTTGGTTTTCTGCGGGTATCCAGAGAAGAAACTAAAGGTGAATGCACTCCAGAATCCGGGAGCACTGGTGATTTTCTCTCCTTAGCTCAGCGAGCAACCCCACAGATAGTCCTCGCCCCACCCCGGGCCCCCTGAATCCATACCATAAAATGTATGTCAGTTTGTTCAACTAAGGACCCCGCTGAGTATTTAATCCCTATTTAAAGATGATGTTTATTTTATTTTTGAGTTTAAATTAATCAGCCTCAGGATACAGAATTAGATAAGGCCGGGATTTATCTCCCCTGGAATGATTCATTTCACATCGAACCTTCTTAACTCTTTGGCTGCAGAGGGGAAGCGCCTGTGTCTTTCTCTGCAGAGTTGCCTAGGGCAGGCCAGGTGAACAGACACGCTCCCTCCTCCTCATCCTGCCAGCCAGGGCATGGTGTGTGCTTATGATGCAGGGAGTTAGAATACTAGCCTTTTCATCACAACAGTCATAAATCCTCACACAGGGAAATAGAGATAACATACAAGTAGGAAAAAAAGAAAAAAGAATCAGTCTTGAATTCTGCTACCTAAAGATAACCATTGTTACCATGTAGGCAAGCTTCCTTTCATGCTGAGTCAAGTGTTTAAAAAATATGGCTCAATATTACAAACACACAGGACTGCATAGAGGATAATGGTATTAAACTTTCATGTACCTCCCAGTTAAAATTCAAATATGGTAACTTTTGGATGCATTTGCTCCAGAGTTTAAGGGAAGAAAACATTACGGATTCAGCCATAATGTTCAAGCTGACGCTCGAGTTATATGCCCCTTTTCCAGTCCAGTTACCACCTCCCTCCCACTATTCTGAAGTCAATGTGTGTCTTCCCATCCATGTTTAATACCTAGAGTGCATGTCCATGAAGAATGGATATAGTGTTTTTTGGTCTCTTTTTGCAATTTTATACAAATAGCAGTCCATACATACTCTCCTGAAAGTTGCTTTTCCCTTCAACAATTTCTTCCAGATGAATCTAGAGTTCTGCATTTCTGGTGAGCTGAGGATGCGTGCCTCCCCCTGCAACCCCCACCCCAAGGTGATGCTGATGTTCTGGTCCAAAGCCTGCATGTGGCCTGGTGAGTCTTCGGGTCTTGGGACAGGTCTGTTGTCAGCCCTTCCTAGGAAGCATAGCCAGATGACCTTGGGGCTGGAGTCCTCACAATGCCCCTCGCCAGTAGTGCTCACATCCATCTTCACTCATCTTCATCAATATTTGTTATCGCACTTTTTGATATTGTTCCTGGAATTTGCAGTGCAGCTGAGCGCGTGCCTTGTGTTTCCCAGCCCTTCGGGTCTCCTTCTCTGTGAATTGCTCCTGGCCCATATGTCTGTTGGATCTTTGGTTTCTCCTTGCTGACTTGTAAGTGCTATTTTTTTTTTTTAGAAGGAGTTTTGCACTTGTTACCTAGGTGGGAATGCAATGGCAGTATCGCGGCTCACCGCAACTTCTGCCACCCTAGTTCAAGCGATTCTCCTGCCTCAGCCTCCTGAGTAGCTGGGATTACAGGTAAGTGCCACCACGCCCAGCTAATTTTGTATTTTTAGTAGAGATGGGGTTTCTCCATGTTGGTCAGACTGGTATCAAACTCCCGACCTCAGGTGATCCACCTGCCTCAGCTTCCCAAAATGCTGGGATTACAGGCATGAGTCACCATGACTGGCCAATTTTGATTTTAATGATCTGGATATCAATGCTTTTTTGGCCAAATACCTTACAAATATGTTTTCCCTATTGGTGCACTGTATTAGTCCATTTTCACACTGCCGATAAAGACATAACCCAGACTGGGAAGAAAAAAAGGTTTAATTGGACTTACAGTTCCACATGACTGAAGAGACCTCAGAATCATGGTGGGAGGTGAAAGGCACTTCTTACACGGCAGTGGCCAGAGAAAAATAAGGACGATGCAAAAGTGGAACCCTGGATAAAACCGTCAATTCTCGTGAGACTTATTCACTACCAGGAGAACGGTATGGGGGAACAGCCCCCATGATTCCAATTATCTCCCACCAGGTCCCTCCCACGACACAGGAGAATTATGGGGGACAATTCAAGATGATATTTGGGTGGGGACACACAGCCAAACCATATCATGCACTATCTTTGTCTTTTAACTTTATTCATGGCCTCTTTTGTCAGATCAAAACTTCTACATTTAATACAATTGAATTTATCAGTAATTTCTTTTATGGTGTCTGTGTTTTGTGTCATATTAAAAAAAGGTTTTCTCTGCTTAGTGTCATAAAATATGTCCTCTGTTTCTTCTAAAAATTGGAAATCTGCTTTTCATATTTTGTTTTATTTCCTTTGTTCTTTGATTCGTAGGGATGTGAGGTAGAAATCTCTATTAGTTAACTCTTGCTTTGTAACAAGTAACCCCACACCTCAGAGGCCTACGACCATAGGCCACCATTTCTCACTCATGAGCATGGGTTGCTTGGGAGGTTTCAGCTCGAAATGTGGTGGCTGAGCTGGATATGCTCCAAGTGTCTCCGATCCTCCTGGGGTCGGGGCCTGCCAGGGTGCCTTCTTCTCATGGCAATGGCAGGAGTGCAAAGAACAAAGGGAAATGTGAAGATCTCTTATCTTACCACCCAGGCTCAGAATGGGCAGACTACCACTTTACCACATCCATTGGCCAAAGTGAGTCAAGTGGCCAAACCAGAAGTCAAGGGCAGGAAGTTTAAGTATGAATCCCATCTCCACGTGCTATGATTTCCTGGGCTTTCAACTTCTTGAGGCTGAATTGTTTTACTCTCACCTCCCCAGACTGCAGAAAACACATTTTCTCCAGGACTCATTGAGCCATAGGGCAGAATGATTGTAGTTGACAAGGACTAGATGGAACTCAAGGCTCCAGCCTCTGTGCAGTGGATAGGTGTCATCTGGCCACTGAGGCCACTTCCTTCCCCTTGTCCCCATCTAGGGCCCCTGTTCTGCTCCAATCTCCCTGTCATTCTGCGCAGGCCTTCCAGGCATCAGCCTCTTAATGGTTCCTGGATTTTTTCCCTGTCTTCCCTTCTATTATGTGAGGGTTTCCATCCTTATTTTGTATAGGAGGACTGGACGGAGTCAATTCAGCCTGTCACGTCCCCACTCTCAGAACCTGGGTAACCCTGAGTGCTCAGCATGACTGGGGTCCCCTGGTGTCTCCCTCCACAGCACGTTCTGAAGGCATAGGAGCTGGACTGACATTCGGGACACCTAAACCTTTGTTCCACTTCTGCCATGACAGCTTCATTGGTCCAGGCAAATCATGGCAGCTCTCTATGCCTCATTTTTTTATTCCTTACACAATGGAATGACATTACCCTCAGTGCTTATGTAAGGGAGGAGAAATGATTCCCCTGCCTTCTCCCCATTTTTGCATTTGCCAGAGAATCAGATTTTTGTGTCTGGCCAAGAATATAGGGAAGGAAGAGCAAGTAAGCTTTGGGCGCAAAGAGGGCATTTAGGGGTTTCAATTAAGCAAAGAAAGTCGGGGGCAGAGAGGGGTGGTGGAGCATGATCTTTGGCCAATAGTGAGGAACTAATGAAGTGCAATGTGCATGGGTTAGGGTGTGTAGCAGCCTGGGTCCCATCGAAAGATAGAAAGCACACAGTGGGTCTAACGGGGAAGTGGAGTATAAAGGATTGCAACTATGATAAAAGAGTCACTGTAAGACATAAAGCAAGTCTGCCTGGTGTCCTAGTGCAGAGGGAGGTACCCAAGGAAGCACAGATTGGAAAGGTGTTCAGATGTCATTAAATGTGGTTCAGCCACCACATAAGAGACGTTTGTGGGTTTGGGCAGGCTGGAGCTAGTCAGCAGCTTTTGCACGAGCACTAGGCCACCCACTGGAGTGCAGATGAGGGAGCCGGCCATGAGCTGCTGAAGTGCAGGGGAGGGAGCCTGCTGTGAGCCACTGGTGCAGGTGAGCAAGCTGGCGGTGAGCCGCTGGAATGCAGGGGAGGGAGCCAGCCGTGAACCGCTGGTATGCAGGGGAGGGAGCCGGCCATGAGCGCCTGGTGCAGGTGAGGCAGCAGGCCGTGAGCCGTTGGGGCAGGTGAGGGAGCTGGGCATGAGCCGCTGGAGTGCAGGTGAGGGAGCTGGCCGTGAGCCCCTAGTGCAGGGATGCATGGCGGGAGTCTGGCTGCCTTTGTAGGGCAGGAAGCCTCTAGAACGCGTGGGTCCCGCAGGGTCTGGCAGAAGGAATGGCAGTTCTGTGCAGACCCTCTAGACTACGGGTCACTGTGTGCAGGTTGCACAAGGGATACACGAGGGGGTCTGGGCAACTTTTCAAGAACTTTCATATCACATGGGCCCTGCAGCATTTTGGTTTCCATGTCGAGATGTTGCAAGCCAAGGCTACAAGGTGGCTGAGGGACCACGCCTTGGTCTGTGGTTGGGGCTTGAACATGATCAAAGCCCAGCCAGAGAACTCCTGTCCCCTGCAGTCTCTCCATCCTCTACCTAGAGGCCTGCAGAATGTTCACTTCCAGAAGGTATATTGAACAGTGTTTCCCAGATTATCACAGTGCACATATTGAAAGGTGCACTAGGAGCTGGGAGGCAATAGACTGAATACTGACACTAGAGACGCTGGCTCATGGTAACGAAGAGAAGCTGAAAAGGAGTGGGAAAGAACTAACTGTAATTTTACATCAGTGATCTGCATCTTTGTTTTGAACGTTTGTGGCAACCAAAATGACTATTCTTTCTACCCTCTTAGTTCAAACATAGCCTGAGACTTTTTTTTTTTTTTTTGAGATGAAGTCTCACTCTGTCACTCAGTCTGGAGTGCAGTGGCATGGTCTCAGCTCATTGCAATCTCCACCTCCTGGGTTCAAGTGATTCTCCTGCCTCAGCTTCCAGAGTAGCTGGGGCTACAGGCATCCACCACCACGACTGGCAAATTTTCGTATTATTAGTAGAGATAGGGTTTCACCATGTCGGTCAGACTGGTCTTGAACTCCTGACCTCAGGTGATCTGCCCGCCTCTGCCTCCCAAAATGCTGAGATTACAGAGGTGAGCCACTGTACTCGGCGGCCTGAGACATTTTGGGCAACAGCTGTGACAGAAGAAATGTGTATCCCTTCCAGGCAGGGGATTTAAGAAGTGGCTCATGGCTGATTGTGTTTTCTTTGCTCTATTTCTGGAACTGTGGGAGCATCTTCTGGAATAAGGGTCTATCTGTTTGAGTCTCTGAATGACTAAGACCACCAGAGCCCCCTTGTTGACCCGTGATGGATGTGAAATCAATTGAGAAGTCAAGGCCGGGTGCAGTGGCCCACACCTGTAATCCCAGGACTTTGAGAGGCTGAAGTGGGCAGATCATGAGGTCAGGAGATCGAGACCATCCTGACTAACACGGTGAAACCCCATCTCTACTAAAAATACAAAAAATTAGCTGGGCGTGGTGGCGGGCACCTGTAGTCCCTGCTACTCGGGAGGCTGAGGCAGGAGAAACTCTTGAACCCAGGAGATGGAGGTTGCAGTGAGTTGAGATTGCACCACTGCACTCCAGCCTGGGCGACAGAGCAAGACTCCATCCACCACACCCCAACCCCCACAAAAAAAAAAAAAAGAAAAGAAAAGAAGTCAACTTTGCTGTTAAAGCCACTGAGGATTGGTGGCTTGTTTGTTATACAGCATCACCTGTCCTGACCAATGCATGACTCATTTCATCCTTGACACAGCCCCTGAGAGAAGGGGTTTTATCCTCATTTCACAAATGAAGAGTCAAGTCTCAGAGAGGTTAGCAGCATGAGCAAGCTCACACAATGAGGGGTGGAGCTTGGATTTGAATCCAGGTCTGTCTAACCTCAAAGACTGAAGTGGGGATGAAAATAAGTTGTCATTGTTGTTTGCCTGTCATCCAGGTGATGTAACACTTGTCTAGGCTCTGCCTACGGGGGCTTTGTGACATACCTCTGCACTGATCACCCAGGTGATGTAACTCTTGTCTAGGCTTTGCCTATGGAGGCTTTGTGACATATCTCTGCACTGATCACCCAGGTGATGGGACTCTTTTCTAGGCTCTTCTATCCTTGGATTGTAACCTTGAAGGATCTTGAACTCATATCCTTTCAGGGATTATAAAAGGGAGCACATCAAAACTGTCATGATAAAGTTGTGGAAAAGTGGGCAATATTGCCAAATGCAAAATATCTGGGCTATATTTTGGTCTCAGATCACCATTTGAGATTCCTGGAAGATAGGGAATATGGAGGCCAACTCCCATAGGGATGTTGTATAAGACTCCAAGCCCTAAGTCAATGATCTCAACCCTGTGGATCAGCACTCTCCATGTAATGGGGCATCTTAACCCATTTTGTGCTGCTATAACAGAATATCATAGACTAGGGAATCTATAAAGAAAAGAAATTTATTTCTTAGAGTTCTGGAGGCTAGGAAGTCCAAGGGTGAGGGGGGTCTGCATCTGGTGAGGGCCTTCTTGCTGTGTCATCTCATGACTGAAGGCAGCAGAGCAAGACTTTGAGAAAGAAAGAGAGCAAAAGGGGCTGAGCTTGCTTTTAATACAAGCCCACTCCCAAGATAACTAACCTACTCCTGAGATAGTGACATTAATCCATGCATGGGGGCAGAATCTCATAACCCAATCACTCTTATTAGGCCCTGCCTCTCAACACTGTCACATAGAGGATTAAGTTTCCAACATGTGAGCTCTGGGGGACACATGCAGACCATATATGGGCGATTGATGAGTATATGGGAGGGACCAGTCATGAATATTTTGGCTGAGAGTTGTGTTTGAGAGCTGAAGCCATGCTCCATCATGGCAGGGCACACATAGACCTTTGAATGCTCTGAGGAATGAATATTTGAATATTGAAGAGTGTAACTCATGGCAGAAGGTGGAATATTTAAAAGGCAGAAGTGCCTGGTTCAAGTAAAAGAGTGAACAGCCTGTAGCCTGGGGCTGGCTCCTCTTCCCTTTCCGTCCCCACCTTTCACCTTTCTTTCTTTCTTTCCCTCCCTCCCTCTCTTTCTCCCTTCCCTCCCACTCTCCTTCCTTCCTCTCTTCCTTCCTTCCTCTCCCTTCCTCTTTCTCTCCCTCCCTGCTTCCTTGTTTCTTTCCTTCTTTCTCTTTCCCTTTTTCTTCCTCCTTCCTTCCTTCCTTCTCTCTCATTTCCTTCTCTCTTTCTTTCTCTCTTTCCATCTTTCTCTCCCTCCATCCTTCTTTCTCTCATTCTTTCCTTCCTTCTCTCTTTCCTTCTTTGTCCCCTTCTTTCCTTCTTTTCTTTCTCCCTCCTTCCTGCCTTCCTTTCTTCTCTCTTTCTTTGACTGATGTGTTCTGAGTCCAAGCAACCTGTGGGGTACTAAGTGGTACCAAAATTGACTCAAGAATCAGGAAGAAATAGAAAACCTAAGAAGTACTACAACATGAAGAACATAAAATCTCTAGTAAAATAAAATCTTTCACAAAGGAAGGACTAGGCCCAGATGGTTATATGAGCAAATTTTACAGACTTCCAAAGAATGGATCATTCTAATTATGTTCCAAACAACTGTAGCTAGGAATATTAATGCTGGATTTTTCAAAAGCCTCATTTCCTAAAATCTGTAGGTTCAAAGGTAGATTGGTATGTGTTGGAAATCCTCAAATTTGTGCAGTTCCTTGGAGTTTTAGCATTAAAAAAGAAATTCCTTGCCTGCATTAACTTTAAATTTTGTAACAGTTACCATTTAATAGAGATACTCTATTCATTTATATGCACTCTGATTTTATAGGAATGGAGACATATCAGACACATGGCTCTGCAACCAGGTTTTTTACTTTGTAAATATCTTGGACATCATTTTTGAGCATCCTTTTAAAATTTATTTTTTTAAATAGCTGCATAGTATTCTATCATATGAATAACCATAATTTCAATAAACAGTAAGGTGATAATCATTAATGTGATTGATAAACATTAAGGTGATTTCTAGACTTTTGTTAAGTAAAAAGGTGGTATAATACTTTCTCCCATTCATACATAATTCCAGGCATCATGAGTATGTCTATAGGGTAAATTTCTGGAAATGAAATTGCTGAATCAGAGAGTACTGCCATTTATAATTTTGGTATATATTGTTTAATCACAATTGATAAAGTTTGTACAAATTTATAATCCCAGTAACAAGATGTGAGTACCACTTCAAACTCCACAACTTCACTGGCAGTGTTTGAAGTCATGATGCATATTGCCAGCCTCCCTTCAAGTAAAGTTCTATTAACCCTACAAAAATTTTATAAATGGCAGACGTTACATTTCCAGATAGCTTTGTGATAACCAAAAGAGAATTGATTTATTAGCAATTTTTATCACATTGAAACAAAATATTATTTTTGATAAATATCATTATTGTTATGTATTTAAAACATCTCAGGTATTAAGAAATCATACTTTAGATGGGACCAAGCTGGCCGATTAGAAGCAGCTGTGGCCTGTGGCTCTCATGGAGGGCAATGAAAACTGCAAGTGAATTCTGCACCTTCAATTGAGGTATTCAGGTTCTTGCATTGGGACTGACTAGGCAGAGAGCTCGACCCACAGAGAGTCAGGAAAAGCAAGTGGGGCAATGGCCCACCTAGGTGTGGCACAGAGCTAGCCGAGCCCCCACTCTCAAGCAAGGGAGGCCATGAGTGATTGTGCGACTCTGCCCAGAAACCATCCTTCTCCCGTGGATCTTTGCAACCTGCAGATCAGGAGGTCCCCTCATGAGCTCAGCCACCATGGCCTTGGGTCTGAAGCACAGAGCTGTGTGGAGTCTCAGCAGAGTGCTCGCTGGGTTACTGGGACATGAATGGAAGCCCAGGCGTTTTGCATACTCAGCCCTGAGAATTCCAGCAAAGCGGGAGATACATCCGTGCATTCCCCTAGGAAGGGGGCTGAATGCAGGGAGCCAAGTGACATAATTCTGAGGCCCCACTCCCACAGCACCTCACAAGACCCATTGGCTTGGAATTCCAGCTGGCCAGTGGCAACAGGCTGGAGACAGCCGGAGGTGGACCGAGTTCCCAGGGGGAGGGGCAGCCGTTCTATCTGTGGTTTGAGTTGGCCGCTCTAGACTGCTGGTACCAGGGACGAGGAGGAGTCACCCATAACACAGCACAGATGTTGTGACTGATCGTGGCCAGGTTGCTTCTTTAAATGAGACCAAAATCCATCCCTCCTCACTGGACAGGGCCTCCCCATCAGAATTTTAGCAAATCCAGCCAGAGTTCTATGGACAGAACTCTGATTTCTCCCTGGGATGAAGTCCCGAGGGAGAGGGGTAGCTGCTTTCTCCCCAGTTCAGCCGACTGAGCCTTTCCAGCCTCCTGGCTTTGGAGACTCCTGGGGGTCAGCACAACACACCTGCTCTGCCAAAGGGCAGCCAGACTGCTTCTTTAAGCAGTCCCTGATCCTGTTCCTCCTGACTGAGTGAGACCTCACAATAGGAGTCTCCAGACACCTCCTACAGAAGTGTTCCAGCTGGCATCAAGTCAGTAGCCCCTTGGACTGGTGCTCCCAGAGGAAGGGTCAGGTTGCCAGCTTTGCTGTTTCACAGACTTCACTGGTGATACCTCCAGGTGCAGGAGAGACTGAGGTGACTAGTGTCCAGAGTGGACCCCCAAAATCCATATCAGCCCTAGCCGTAGGGAAGAGTGGTCTGACTGTTAAAAACAAACAAAACAACAACAACAACATCAACAAAAAACCCCACAAAAACTCCATTCAAAGGTCAGCAATGTCAAAGATCAAAGGTAGATAAGCCCACAAAGATGAGAAAGCATCAACACAAAAACGCTGAAAACTCAAAAAGGCAGAATGCCTCTTCTCCTCTAAATGACAACAACACCTCCCCAGCAAGGGCACAAAACTGACCCGAGGCTGAGATGGCTGAATTGACAAAAGTAGGCTTTAGGAGGTGGGTAATAACAAACATCCCTGAGCTAAAGGAGAAGTTCTAACTTAATGCAAGAAGCTAAAAATCATGAAAGAACACAGTAGCTGATAACCAGAATATTCATTTTAGAGACAGGATGGAGCTGAAAAACACAGCATGAGAACCTCACAACACAACCACAACTATCACTCACAGAATAGGCCAAGCGGAGGAAAGAATCTCAGAGCTTCAAAACTATCTGTCTGTTATAAGACAGGAAGAGAAGAATAGAGAAAGAAGAATAAAAAAGAAAGAACAACAAAACCTTCAAGAAATATGGGATTATGTAAAAAGACTGAACTTAAGACTGATAAGGGTACCTTGATCCACTACGATCAAGACGGCTTCATCCCTGGGATACAAGGTTGGTTCAACACAGGCAAATCTATAAATGTAATTCATCACATAAACAGAAATAAACACAAAAACAACACGATTATCTCAATAGATGCAGAAAAGGCCTTCAATAAAATTCAACATCCCTTCATGTTAAAAACTCTCAATAAACTAGGTATTGAAAGATCACACCTCAAAATAATAAGTGCCATATATAACAAACTCACAGCCAATATCATACTGAGTGAGCAAAAGCTGGAAGCATTCCCCTTGAAAACTGGCACAAGAAAAGGATGGCCTCTCTCACCACTCCTATTCAATGTAGTGCTGGAATTTCTGGCCAGGGCAATCAGGCAGGAAAAAGAAATAACGGTATTTAAATAGGAAGAGATGAAGTCAAATTATCTTTGTTTGCAGATGACATGATCCTGTATCTAGAAAACCCCATCATCTCAGCCTAAGAGCTTCTTAAGCTGATAAACCACATCAACAGAATCTCAGGATACAAAATCAGTGTGCAAAAATTGCTAGTATTCCTATACACAAACAACAGGCAAGTAGAGAGCCAAATCGTGAATGAACTTCATTCACAATTGCTACAAAGAGAATCAAATACATAGGAATACAGCTAACAAGAGAAGTGAAGAACCTCTTCAAGGAGGACGACAAACCACTTCTCAGAGAAATCAGATAGGACACAAACAAATGGAGAAGCATTCCATGCTCATGGATAGGGAAGAATTCATTCCTGAAAATGTCCATACTGCCCAAAGTAATTTATAAAATAATTCAATGCTATTCCCATTAAACTACCAATGACATTCTTCACAGAATTAGAAGAAACTATTTTAAAATTCTCATGAACCAAAAAAGAGCCCAAATAGCCAAGGCAATTCTAAGCAAAAAGAACAAAGCTGGAGGCATCACACTACCCAACTTCAAACTACACTATAATGCTACAGTAACCAAAACAACATGGTACTGGTACAAAAACAACCAATGAAACAGAATAGAGAACTCTGAAATAAGACCATACACATACAACCATCTGATCTTTGACAAACCTGACAAACACAAGCAATGGGGAAAGGATTCCTTGTTTAATAAATCATGTTGGGAAAACTGGCTAGCCATATGCAGAAACTGAAACTGGACATCTTCCTTATACAAAAAATAACTCAATGTGGAATAAAGACTTAAACCTAAGACCTAAAACCAAAGAAGAAAACCTAGGCAATACCATTCAGGACATAGGCATGGGCAAATTCTTTGTGACTAAAACACAAAAAGCAATGCAACAAAAGCCCAAATTGACAAATGGGATCTAATTAAACTAAAGAGCTTTTGCACAGCAAAATAAACTATCATCAGAGTGAACAGACAACCTACAGATTGGGAGAAAATTTTTGCAATCTATCTGTCTGACAAAGGGCTAATATCCAGAATCTACAAAGAACTTAAACAAATTTACAAGAAAAAAACAGCCCCATCAAAAAGTGGGCAAAGGAAACAAGCAGACACTTCTCAAAAGAAGACATTTATGTGGCCAACAAACATGAAAAAAAGCTCATCATCACTGGTCATTAGATGAATGCAAATCAAAACCACAATGAGATACCATGTCACGCCAGTTGGAATGGCGATTATTAAAAAGTCAGGAAACAGCAGATGCTGATGAGGCTGTGGAGAAATAGGAATGCTTTTACACTGTTGGAAGGAGTGTAAATTAGTTCAGTCATTGTGGAAGACAGTGTGAAAATTCCTCAAAGATATAGAACCAGAAATACCATTTGACCCAGCAATCCCATTATAGGTTATATACCCAAAGCATTATAAATTATTATACTATAAAGACACATGCACTGTATGTTTATTTCAACACTGCATGTTTATTTCGGCACTGTTCACAATAGCAAAGACTTGGAACCAACCCAAATGCCCATTAATGATAAACTGGATAAAGAAAATGTGGCACATATACACCATGGAATACTGTGCATTTGTGTCCTTTCCAGGGACATGGATGAAGCTGGAAACCATCATTCTCAGCAAACTAACACAAGAAAAGAAAACCAGGCCAGGAGCAGTGACTCATGCCTGTAGTCTCAGAAATTTGTGAGGCTGAGGTGGGGAGTTTGAGATCAGCCTGCCCAACATGGAGAAACCCCATCTCTACTAAAAATACAAACAATTAGCCAGGCATGTTGGCACATACCTGTAATCCTACCTACTTGGGAGGCTGAGGCAGGAGAATCGCTTGAACCCAGGAGGCAGAGGTTGTGTTGAGCCGAGATCACGCCATTGCACTCCAACCTGGGCAACAAGAGTGAAACTTTGTCTCAAAAAAAAAAAAAAAAGAGAGAGAGAGAGAAAGAAAAAGAAAAAAGAAAAGAAAACCAAACACTGCATGTTCTCACTCATAAGTGGGAGCTGAACAATGAGGACACATGGACACAGGGAGGGGAACATCACACACTGGGACCTGTCATGGGGTGGGAGGCTAGGGGAGGAATAGCGTTAGGAGAAATACCTATGTAGATGACGGATTGATGGGTGCAGCAAACCACCATAGCACTTGTATAACTATGTAACAAACCTGCATGATCTGCCCATGTATCACAGAACTTAAAGTACAACAAAGAAAACTTTCCATAAATGCATAAAGTCTAGAACAGCTAATATATTATAATGAAAAGTCAACTATAATCCCAGCTCAAAGAGAACACCATAAAATTATGAAGAGCTCTCCACAAATCTCTAAATTTATGTCTTCCTAAGATTACATTTCTATTTCTTCTTGAATAATGTCCTCATTTTAGCTATGATTTAGTGATAGTAAGATGGTAGTTATGAGGAGAAAATTCTCCTAACACTCCATTGAGAAAATTCTGCCTCATTTCACCACACACCTGAGTCTTAAGCAGTCACTTCTAATGTAGCTGAATAATAGATCCTCACCCAGCTGAGTCTATGAGTTGAGTCCATGTATGTGAGATAAGACCCCCAAGTAGAGGTAATAAGCTGGGAAAGCCATCAGCTCATCTTTCTTCAGGCCTATATTTGTCATTGTCACTTGTAGAAGCAGGACAGCCCTGGCATTGGGATTGGTAGTAACAGAGAGTATCAAAGGGAAAACTGAACTTCCCTAATTTTTGGAAAAAAGCAGATTGGAAACAGATGGGCTCCAAAGTTTTCCATGTGTGAGGTCATTGTCCCAGGTAGTCTTGCTCAGGACATTTCTTGTCAGCAAAACAGAAGTCAAATGATATTTCTACCTTCCAAGAGAATAGAACATAATGTCAGATTTTCTCATGGATTCCCACAAGTTCAAGAAACTTTCATGGCCTTATTTAACTGCTTAAGCATTTCAACTAAAAAATTATTTGTCTTTCAAATACACAGGAATCTGTTTGGAAAAAATTTAACCAGAAAAAGTTGGAATTCTAAAGTAAAAAATCCATAAGGACATAAAAATTTTTTACATCTTTTAATTTATATGTCAACTGGGGAAAGGAAAACATTCTCTGAAGTTCCTTTTATACCATTAAAGACTTATTGTTTATTACCAGCAATACAGGGTGACTTATTCAGGTTGAATCTTAAAGGTAAACTTTAACTTAATTTTAAGTTTTGGCTAATTTTTAAGCATTTCTCAGTCACCTACCATGATTTCATCTCAGAAACCAAAATCTCAATTTCATTTAGACCTTTGAAATATTAAAACAGAAGGTTAAATGCTTCAAAATAATATTCATGTAGACACTTACATATGTGGACCAGGAATCTACATATATTTCAAAGTTTATAAGAACATAACAAATGTTGATACACACATTTAATTATGAAATAAAAGCTTACAACAAATAAAGCTGTAACAAATCAAGAAAATTTTGTAGGTTACACATTTTATGTCTAAAAATATAGGTATGAAACACTCAAGGATGGATAAAAGAAGAAATCACAAGAGAAAATAGAAAATATCTAGAGACAAATTAAGAACATGAAATATCAAAAGTTAAGAGATACATCAAAAACAGTACCATAAGGGAAAAATTTATAGCTATAAATGATTATAAAAAATAAGATACCAAATCAACAACTTTACTCCTAAGGAACTAAAAACAGAGGGAAAAAGAGGGACTATTAAAGAGGGACAACTAAAAACTAGAAAAATTTAAAAAATGATAAAGATAGCAGTGGAAATAAGTGAAATAGAGAATAGAAAATCAATATCAAAAATCAACAAAACCTAGTTTCTTCTCTGAAAAAGATCAAAACTGACAAAATTTTATCTAGATTGATTAAGAAAAAAGGTAATATTCAAATTACTAAACTCAAAAATAAAATGGGTACATTACTAACAAATTTTTGGAGTAAAAAAGGGATGTAGGAGAGTACCATGAGGAACTATACACTAAAAAATTGAATAGCCTAAATAAAATGAACAAATTCCTAGAAACAAAAAACCTACTAAGACTGAATCAGAAAAGTTGAATAAACCTATTGAGCAAGGAGATTCAGCAGGAAGATTGCATCAGTAATCAAAAACCCAGCACAAAGAAAAGCCTGGACCAGATGGCTTCACTGTTGAATTCCACCCAATGTTTAAAGCAGAATTAACACCACTTTTTCTCAAACTTTTTCAAAACTTTGAAGAGGAGGTAATTTTTTCTAACTTATTCTATGAGGCCAGTATTACCCTGACACCAAGCCAGAAAAAGGCACCATAAGAAAACTACAAACAAACATCCCTTATAAATGCTGATGCAAAAATCCTCAACAAAATACCAGCAACTCAAACTTAGCAGTACATTAAAAGGATTATACACTATGAATGAGTATAATTGACTCCTGAAATAAAAGTATGTTCCAACACATGAAAATCAGCGTAATATCACATTAAGAAGGAAAAAACCCTCATGTGATCATCTTAATCAAAGAAGAGAAAGCATTTGTCAAAATTTAACCCACATTCATGATAAAATATACTTAATAAACTATAAAAAGAAATAAAACACCTTAACATAATGCTATACAAAAAAAAAACAAACCAAAAAAACACAGCTAACATGGTGAAAGACTGAAAGCTTTTACCCTAAGAGCAAAAACAAGGATGCGTGCTTTTACTACTTCTATTTAATATAGTACTGAAGGTTCTGGTTAGTTAAAACAATAAGGTGAGTAAAAGAATTAAAGATATTCCAATTTTTTAGAAAGTAAAATTATCTGTTTGCAGATGACATAACCTTATATATTAAAAATCTTTTAGTTTCTGTGAAATAAACTGTCAGATGCAATAAATAAAATTCAGCAAACTGCAAGATACAAAATCAATACACAAAAATCAGTTGTATTTCTACAATAACAATAAATTATATGAAGAAGAAATCAAGACAACAGTATCATGTATGATAGCATCAGAAGAATAAAACACTTAGAAACCCATTTAACCAAGGAAATGAAAAACCTGTACAGCAAAAACTATAAACATGGCATGAAAGTATTAAAGATGACACAAATAAGTGAAAAGACATCATGTGTTTATGGACTAGAAGATAAAATATTGTCAAGGTGCCATTGTTATCTATGGTCATCTACAGATTCAATAAAATCACTGTAAAAATTCCAATATATGCAAAAACAGAAAAACCTGTTCTAAAATTCAGATGAAATCTCAAAAAACCCCAAGCAGCCAAATCAATCTTAAAAACTAACAAAGTAAGAGGACTAACACCTCCTGGTTTCAAACTTCAGTACCCAAAATAATGCTGTACCAGCATAGAGACAGACACAAAGACCAATGCAATAGAAACAAAGAACCAAAAAATATGGTCATGATTTTTAACAAGGGCGTCAACTCTGTTCAATGGGGAAAGGACGGTATTTTTTTAAATGGTGTTGAAAACGGATATTTACATCTATCTATCTATCTATCTATCTATCTATCTATCTATATCCCAAATTAGCTTTTTGTCTGTCATTTATGTTGCAGATCTATTTCCCCAGTCTGTTGACTTTTGACTTTGAGACATTTTTCTCTCATACAAAATTTTAATTTTTATGGAGTCAAATACAACCTTGGCGCCGATCTGGTTCCCGCACTGCCCGGTCTGCGTGAGCACTATTTTCCTCATGCCCAAGGCGGGATTAGAGCGGCAGGAGAAACGCGAAAAGGAGGAGCAGACGCTCAGCTACCCAGTCCGCCCTCCGCCAACGCTGAAATATCCCTTCGCCCACCTCCCTCAGCCTTGGATTCAGCTCCCAGAATAAGCAACAGCTTTACTTCCACACAGGTGTACCTACCTGTGAATCCCTTGGATCGAACGCCTCTTGGAGAGCTCAGGTGCCCTTGTTGTGGTCCTTTCCACGTTGGGGAAAGCTGGTCAGCTGGAGAACTTCCTCCCACATCTTTAGTAAGACTAAATCCCCAGCTGAGCTGAAACTGAATTTTCCTCCCATGTGGGAGGGGAAGACTCTTGTTTCCATATTCGCAGAGTGCCTTTGCACCTGTCCTAGATTGATGACATATTTTTGTAATTGATAAATCTTTTCATCTATTAGGAGATCTGTGCTTAGGAAAGGTCTTCCGAATGTTAACTCAACAGGATTTTATTATAAGTTTTACTTTGGAGCAGTTCAAACCCGCTGTAAGCTATGGGTGTTGGAGATAGTCAGGCGTCTGATTTAGCTAGAGTCTTCTTTAGAGTAGGATTAGCCCTTTCACCTTTCCAGAGGACTGCGGTCTGCACACAGAGTGAAGGTAATATTGGATTCTTAAAGCTGAGGATAGGTGTTGGGATACACCTGCTGTGAAAGACGGGCCATTGCCACTTTGCAGGCTTTTAGATTACCCAAACTGAGGAGTTATTTCTTCTGGTAAACATTTTTCAGATGGGGTGCGGAATGCCTCGATCTAACTAGCGAAGGCATCAGTAAGCATTAGCAAATATTTGAATCTCCTGCAGAAAGGTAGCTGAGTAAATTAGAGTTGCCAGTTCTCACCTGGGTAGGTTCCTCAATTTTTGGACAGGTTTACCTGGAGAAGGAGAAAATCGCTGGTGGTTTGGGTCATGTCAGTCACAGAGCTCACAGGGCTGAGTCACCTGCTTTTCTGTCTTGAAAAGATTTACCCCTATAAACAAATGAGACATTAACAGAAGCCAGGAATCCCTTCTAGGGTGAAAAGAATCATGAAAGTGCTGAATTATATTCCTATGATTGGTACTTGGCATTAGTAATTTATTACCATCATTCAGCCAGCCAGAGGGACCCTGGACTGAAATGCAATCCCTGGCCCATTTTTATTCTTCTTCAGAGTATTCCGGCCCAGTTCTATGTATGCTGACCAGCACGCCCATAAGCTTCATTGGCCCTTTCAGTGCAGGGGCCTTGGCTTGGCATCTACAAGGGCATTTCCTTTTACATGGCCAGTCTCTCTTTTGATGTCCTCTGAGATTAATTATAGTCAATTTTTGACAGCAAAGCAGCATTCTAACAAGCTCAAAATCTGAATGATGTTGTATGGAAAACTCTTGGGGGTCAGCAGTCCCTACCCATTCCAAATTGCAGCATAACCATGAAGCACTAAAAAATCATACTTGAAATCAGTGTAAATGTTAACTTTTAAATCCTTTCCCAACTGCAGGGGCTGAGTAAGTTCAATTAACTCAGCTTTTTGGGCTGAGGTCGAAGCCAGCAAGGCTTGTGCCTTGATTCTCTTGTGCTGACTACTAATAGCATACCTAGCCCTCCTGTTCTCCTGATGCATAAAACAACTTGCATCTGTTAACCACTCTTCCTTGGGATGGTCAAGGGGCTCATCTCTCTTAAGTCTAGCCTGCTAGAATCAATTTGTTTCATAACCTATGACATGCTTCGGCTCTGTCCCCAGTCAAATCTTATCTTGAATTTTAGCTCCCATAATTCCTATATATCGTGGGAGGGACCCAGTGGGAAGTAATCGAATCGGGGGATGGGTCTTTCTCATGCTGTTCTTGTGACAGTGAAAAAGCCTCATGAGATCTAATGGTTTATTTATTTATTTTTGAGACATAGTCTTGCTCTGTTGCTCAGGCTGGAGTGCATTTACGTGATCTTGGCTCACTGCAACTTCTGACTCCTGGGTTCAAGCGATTCTCCTGTCTCAGCATCCTGAGTAGCTGGGATTAGAGGTGCCTACCACCATGCCTGTCTAATTTTTGTACTTTTAGTATAGATGGGGTTTCACCATGTTGGCCAGGGTGTCCTCGATCTCCTCACCTCAGCTCATCCACTGCCTTGGCCTCCCAAAGTGCTGGGATTACAGCTGATGGTTTTATAAAGGGGAGTTTCCCTACACAAGCCCTTTTGCCTGCTGCCATGTCAGAGATGTGACTTTGTTCCTCATTTGCCTTCTGCAATGAGTGTGAGGCCTCCCCGACCACGTGGAAATGTGAGTCAATTAAACCTCTTTTCTTTATAAATTACCCAGCCTCAGATATGTCTTTATTAGCAGCATGAGAACAGACTAATACAACCTGTATGCCAGAAAGGCTAGAAGTACCTGTGGACTCTGGCAGATAAGCAGCTGGGTTTATGGTTTGGCAGGCTTTAAGGATTATGTCTGGAGGGTCCAGCAATAAGGCCTGATACTTTCATAAATGTTCTCCTATTATCCACTCCTGCCCTTTAGCTTCTAGGACCACCTTCCCTTGGTGTGGGGTCAAAAACCTGTAGGTGCTCTTCTAATGTTAGTTTATTAGCTTTGTCTGCTAGAAAACTGGTAGCAGCAATAGCTCTAAGACATCAAGGCCACCCTGAGGCCACCTGGTCTATCTGCTTAGAAAATTAGGCTACTGGCCTTGGAATGTCCCCCCGTTTTGGGACAAGATTACCCAAGGCCTATGCCTTGATTTTTGGTCACATAAAGAAAAAATGGTTCATCCAACTTGGGGACTCCCACTTCTGCAGCAGAGCCCAATTTCTCCTTGAGAGTATTGAAGGTTTGCTTGCAGTTCTCATTACATTCTAGGAGCTCTAAATCTTTCCCTTTAATGTATCATATAAAGGCTTGGCTACATGCCCAAATCTGGGCACCCATAAGCAGCAGTACCCAGCCATCTCCTAAAAAAGCCCACAGTCATTTTTTGTACAGGGACCCTTGGGTGACTAAAATAACTTTCTTATCTCTAGGGATGTTGATCAGTTCCAGAGGTTAAGACAGATTCCAAATATTTAAGTCTTTCAGTCAAAATCTGAGCCCTGTGTGGTGATGCCCTATATCTGCAAGTTCCCAGGAAATTTACCAACTTAACAGTATTATTATGAGTCTTCTTTAGTTGGGCTAGCAATGAGCAAGTCACCTACGTACTGAATAATTGTGTCCCTTTCCAATTGTAGATTTGTTAAGTCCTTAACTAGAGCATTTTCATATAAGCGGGGTCTATCCCAGAACCCTTCAGAGATGACTGTCCAGGTTAGTTTTGAGGCTGAATGCGTATCTGGATCATTCCATTCAAAGGCAAACATATTATGAATCTGGATGCATTGAGATCCAGAAAAGTGCATCTTTCAGATATAAGAATGTAAACCAGCTTGCATCCCCTGGGACTTGGTAAGTATTTGGGACAATGAGGTGTACGGAGACAACTGCATTTCTTAATGCTCTAAGGGTTCTGACAAATCTGTACTTGCCATTAGGCTTTTTATCTGGTAACATGCGAGTATTGTAAGGAGACTCTCATGGCCTTAATAACTCATATGGCAAGAATTTGGCAATAAGGGGTTGAATTTCCCCTCATGCTTCTTGCCTTAAAATGTATTGTCTCTTCTGAGGGCGAGGAGCACTAGGCTGAAGTTGGATTTGAATGGGGGAGGTGTTTAGTGGTTTCCCAGAGCCTGTGTGGACCAAACCTCAAGATTTACTTGAGACAACATCTCAGGTGGTAAATGTGACAGCTCATTCTTAACTTCTTTTTTCCCCTGAGGGGTCAGGAACAAAAGTAACACTTTCTATGCTTTATGATCTGTGAAGTTGACCATGACTTGGTCTCCTGAGTCAATAAGCCTCTCCCCAGTAAGAGGTCAGGCAATCAGACAGTACTAAAAAGGCAGGCAAGATAGCTAGAGGCTCTGGAGGACAACTTAGAAGATACAAAAAGGAGTGTTTTGGGGCTTGTCCATCATGAGAAGACAGGAGCCCATTGTATTGAATCAGGACAGAGTAATCTGCTCCCACACCTAATACGAAGTTAATACTCCTACCTACTACTTCAAGAGTCACCTGAGGCTCCTCCATCTCTCGATAGCTAATAGTCCAATGGGAGCAGAGGTAGGAAGTATCAGGCCCTGCCACTTTTGATTCTGCTGGGCTCTGATGATGGCTCCCTTGGAAGCACAGTGCATTTCCTTCGGCAGTGGCTGACCTTCCTACAGAAGGCACATTGATTTATATCCAAGGCATGGTGGCCCAGAGGCACAGACTGGGACTTTCACCTTCTCACTTCCTCTGTGAGGGCCAGGGGTTAAGGGGCTGCCTCTGAAGTGGTGGAGAGCACAAGGCTGCAGCTAGAAGCTGGGCCTCTTGGAAGATTTGCTTTATTTTATGTTTTCTCTGCCGAATTCCTGTGATGGAAAACTGCAAAATCCAAGTCTAAAATCTGATCCATGGGAGTCTGGAAGCCTAAGGCTGCTTTTGGTGGCTTCCTATAGATATCAGAAGCAGACCGGGCTATAAAATAAACTCCTAGCAATGTTGTCCCTTCTTGGAGTCAGGGTCAGTGTTAGTGTATTTCCTCAAGGTCTAAATTATCCACCCTTGTAATAAGGCTAGGTTTTCATCTTTTCCCTGAGTAATTTTCCAGACTTTATAAAAATTAAAAAGCTTTATCACACTTTTTTATTCATTCAAGGAGTCAAATGATCATAATTTTTTCTCTCTATATCACACTTTCTTCTTAATTCATTTGTCTTTTCTAGATTCTAGTTCTTTTGGGTCCTAGTCAGGCACTGCTATGCCTCCTATTTGATAGGTGTCTTGCCCCTTGTTGCAGGCTGCCACCCTATTAGCATGTGCTCTAGCCACTCCCATCATGCACTGCTTTTCTACCATGCAGCAGGTAAACATAAATATATGCAAATCCTACCTGGTCAGATCATACGTCAAAGTTAGCCTTTTAAATTTGTCTATGAATTTTCCCGGAACTTCTGAAAACTGTTTTAGTTTTTCCTTGCATATGGCTAATTCAGATATAGAAAAGTGTACACATACCTATATAGTGTGGGGAAAAGAAAGAGAGATCAGACTGTTACTGTGTCTATGTAGAAAGAAGTCGACATAAGACACTCCATTTTGTTCTGTACTAAGAAAAATTCTTCTGCCTTGAGAGGCTGTTAATCTGTAACCCTAACCCCAACCCTGTGCTCACAGAAACATGTGCTGTGTCGACTCAAGGTTTAATGGATTTAGGGATATGCAGGATGTGCTTTGTTAAACAAATGCTTTAAGGCAGCATGCTTGTTAAACCCTATTCTCAAGTACCCAGGGACACAAAACACTGCGGAAGGCCACAGGGACCACTGCCTAGGAAAGCCAGGTATTGTCCAAGGTTTCTCCCCATGTGATAGTCTGAAATATGGCCTCATGGGAAGGGAAGGACACGACCATCCACCAGCCTGACACCTGTAAAGGGTCTGTGCTGAGGAGGATTAATAAAAGAGGAAGGCCTTTTTGCAGTTGAGATAAGACAAAGCCATCTGTCTCTTGCTCGTCCCTGGGCAATGGAATGTCTCAGTGGAAAACCCGATTGTATATTCCATCTACTGAAATAGGAGAAAACTGCCTTACGGCTGGAGGTGAGACATGCTGGAGGGAATACTGCTCTTTAAGGCACTGAGATGTTTATGTATATGCACATCAAAAGCACAGCACTTTTTTCTTTACCTTGTTTATGATGCAGAGACATTTGTTCATGTGTTTTCTTGCTGACCCTCTCTCCACTATTATCCTATTGTCCTGCCACATACCCCTCTCCAAGAAATGCCCGATAATGATCAATAAATACTAAGGAAAGTCAGAGACTGGTGCCGGCGTGGGTCCTCCGTATGCTGAGCGCTGGTCCCCTGGGCCCACTTTTTCTCTATACTTTGTCTCTGCGTCTCTTTTCACAAGTATCTCGTTCTACCTGATGAGAAACGCCCACAGGTGTGGAGGGACAGGCCACTCCTTCAATATACTGTCCCTATTATCATCTGTCACTTCCCAGAGAGGGCAAACATTCAACTTTGCCAGCTGATAAGAGGCCCCACGGCATGTTGTTCTGGTGAAGCTCGGGTGTTTCGAGAGTGGGGTATGTACGTAAGACAGGACTCGAAGGGCATGGAGAAGATGATGACCGGACACTAGATAACCTTGGAAAACTAGAGGAAATTAATAACATGTTGCACACCTCACTAGAACTGGAAGGAGTCTGTGTTCTTATGGGGTGCTTGGACTGGAAGGGGGAGTTCAGCCCCAGCTAAGAAGAGCCTAATATTAAGAGGCACTTGCATTAAAAAGGTAATCAATTACATGCCGTCCCCATTTTATCTTTTCCTGCATCAAACATATAGAAGTCCATTTTAATTTTTTATCCTGACCAAGCATCAGAGAAGCCTGTATATAATGTATTTCCTCTCTCTTAGTTTCTCTTCTATAAAACAAGTTAAGCTGCAAAATAGGAGTCAGATCAAACAGGGGAAATGGGAAGGCTGTAACTTGTATATTGTAATGTATTAGTCCATTTTCACACTGCTATGACAAAACTGACAAAACTCTCTCAGGAAAAAAGTGACATGCTGGGTTTAGAAAGTAGGGTCCAGCTGCCCTATACCAGCTGATCAAAGATGGCGTTATGGTTAAGAAATGAGAGAAAACTGTTAAGAAAAAGTCTCACGTTCTCCATCTTGAGGGTAATTGTTTGCAGAGGGTTGTCATAAAAGAGGCTGTCATTAAACACGCATATCTGATCTTATCATGTATAGCTCTTAAATACCACATTTCAACTTCTAGCCATAATGATGGCAAGGTTGCTGCTGATCTTTTCTGATAATTAAGGTACAAAAATACTAGGTCCCGAGACAATTATTTTTTTCAGTGTCACTTGGACCAGTGGCAAATTAAACAAGCAGTCAGTTAAGAGTCAGAGGATCGCTGAAGAAAATAAAACTAAACTGTTTGGGGCCTCTGTCCTGGGGCAGCCTCCAGGCTATTACAAAACAGAGGCGGTGAGCAGAAAGGTGACAAGATGTAGAGCACTCAGGTAAGGGACAGAGAGCACAAGGTGGACAGTCCAAAAAGAGAAAGTGGCAAACATCTTGTTTAGCCAAATCCATTCTTCTCAATATTTCCCAGGGCCTCTAACCCTGTGGGCTTGGCCTCTAATCTGAGTATGATAATAGTGGATAATCATACTTGCCCACCAGAATGGCTTCACGATTCTAAAAGACAGCACACTTGCCAGGTGTCAGCTGATTGATTCTGTGTAGATTGTTTTCCTTGGAGTGGGGGTCTTGTCTTGGTGTCTGTTCATGGTGTTGCTGAAAGATGTTGCTGGAAAAGAGGGTCCTGATACAGACCACAAAGTAGGATTCTTAGATCTTGTGCAGGAAAAAATTTGAGGTGAGTCAGAGAGCACAGTGAAAGAAGCAAGTTTATTAGAAATTATTCCATTACAGAGTTGGACATCCTCAGAAAACAAGAGGAGGAATGCATTGTCTTTTGTTAGTGTCTCTACTTATAAGTAACTATAAAAAGAAAGAGTTAAAATTAAACTTGGAAGGTGCAGATGTAGTCACTAAAGTCGGGGCTATTGGTTTTAACAATAACCATTAACCCATTGACCTAAGCTACCTCATTAATAATATCCTTACAAAAAAATGCTGCATTCCTAGGACATTTATACATTTTTCAGACTTGGTGGAAGATGTCTTGTATGATCACACATACTCTGCAATTGTAATTTGTGGCCAGTTAAAAAATGTGACTATTTTCAGACCATGAACATTAACCTTCTAGATGCCTTGTGAGTACCTATCTACTCATATTAAGATAGAATATTCTAGTCATGTTTATTAAACTAGAAGCTAGGTAACCATGAGTTCCTCTAACACAGCAAGTCTAATCCTCAAGGAGAAAATGTATTTCTCAGGAATTTTGTGCATTTTGTTTGATGGCATTTGGTATGTTTACCAAAATGGCAGAAAAGAGTGAAATTAGTCCTCAAAGATTTCTCAAGATTGGATATAAAGTAAACAAAATGATTATAGTTAATATGCAAGTTGATATAGTTGATATTCAAAAGAAATTTTGTTTAAAACACAATGAGATTTTTATTTTTACTTATTTATTATTATTATTATTATTATTATTATTATTATTATTATTATTATTTTGAGGCAGAGTCTTGCTCTGTTGCCCAGGCTGCAGTGCACTGAACTATCTTGGCTCACTGAAACTTGTGCCTCCCGGGTTCAAGCAATTCTCCTGCCTCAGCCTCCCAAGTAGCTGGGATTACAGGCATGAATCACCACACCCAGCTAATATTTGTATCTTTAGTAGAGATGGGGTTTCACTCTGTTGGCCAGGCTGGTCTCGAACCCCTGACAACAAGCGATCTGCCCACCTTGGCCTCCCAAATTGCTGGGATTACAGGCAAGAGCCACCACTCCCAGCAACAATGAGGTTTTTAAATAATTCTGATTTCCTGCTGTTGAGCAGGGAGCTGAGCAAATTCAACAGATTATGGGCCTAAACTAGGGGAAGACTGAGGACAAACTCTAGAACACATGTGATTAAATTAATTACAATGGAAACCAAATCAAATTTAATAAAGCTGTACCTCTTAGTTTCAAGATGTTTCCCCTCATTTTGAAATGCGGTGTTATTCCATGGAAAAGAAAACTAGTGTTTATCTCCAGAGTAAAGAACAGGGCTCCCTGCAGGGATTGATTGCCTGAGAACTATGGCTCAGGATTAAAAATCCTTCTTTTTTCCATTTATAAACTAAAAATAAATTTCTAAACTCCTGTTGACTAAATAGACCTCTCTTCTTGAATAAGGACATTCCAAAGTTAACCTGAAAAGCTAGTTCAAGCCATGGGTCACACATCTCTCATTATACTCTCCTCCCTTTGGTTTTAATTTTAATTTTAATTTTAATTTTTAATTTATTTTTGTGGGTACATAGTTGGTGTATATATTTATGGGGGTACATGACATACTTTGATGCAGTCATGCAATGAGTAATACATAATAAAAAACATGGTATCTGTCCCCTCAAGCATTTATAGCTTGTGTTATAAACAATCCAATTATACTCTTTTAGTTTTTTTAAATGTGGAATTAAATTATTTTTTACTATAATCACCCTGTTGTGCTATCAAATGCTGTCTTATTCATTCTTTCTAACAATTGTTTTTTTACCCATTTAGCATCCCCACTATCCCCTTGTTCCCTCCCTGCCCTTGCCAGCCTCTGGTAACCATCCTTATACTCTCTATCTCTATGACACCAATTGTTTTGAATTTTAGCACCCACAAATAAGTGAGACGATGTGACATTTGTATTTCTGTGCCTGACATTTCACTTAACATAAAGACTTTCAGTTCCATTTATGTTATTGCAAATGACAGGCTCTCATTCTTTCTTACAGCTGAATAGTACTCCATTGTGTATATGTACCACATTTTCTCTATCCAGTCATCTGTTGATGGACATTTAGGTTCCTTCCAAATCTTGGCTATTATAAACCCTGCTGTAGCAAACATGAGAGTGCCAATAGGTCTTTGATTTACCAATTTTATTTCTTGTAGGCATATATTGAGCAGTGGGATTCCTGGACCATATAGTAGCTCTATTTTTAATTATATTGGGAACATCCAAAATGTCCTTAAATGTGCTCCCAACAGCAGTGTACAAGGGTTCCCTTCACTCCACATACTCACCAGCATTTGTTTTTCACTGACTTCTGAATAAAAGCCACCTTAACTAGGGTGAAACGATATCTCATTTTGGGTTTGATTTGCATTTCTATGATGATCAGTAATGTGGAGCACCTTTTCATTTGTCTGTTTGACATTTGTATGTCTTCTTTTCATAAATGTCTATTTAAATTTTTTGTCCACTCTTTATTTGGGTTATTACTTTTTTCTGTAGAATTTTTTGAACTCAATATATTGTAGTGTATTAGTCTGTTCCTGCACTGCTATAAAAAAAAATACCTGAGACTGTGTTATCTATTTATTTACTGAGATGAAGTCTTGATCTGTTGCCCAGGCTGAAGTGCAGTGGTGCAATCTTGGCTCACTGCAACCTCCACCTCCTGACTCAAGCAATTCTCTGCCTCAGCCTCCTGAGTAGCTGGGATTACAGGCACCTGCCACCATGCCTGGCTAATTTTTATATTTTTAGTGGAGACAGGGTTTCACCATCTTGGCCAGGCTGGTCTTGAACTCCTGGCCTAGTGATCCACCCACATCAGCCTCCCAAAGTGGTGAGATTACAGGCATGAGCCACCACACCTGGCAAGACTGGGTAATTTATAAAGGAAATGGGTTTAATTGAATCACAGTTCCACATGGCCAGGGAGGCCTCAGGAAACTTACAATAATGGCAGATGGGGAAGCAGGCACCTCTTACATGACAGCAGGCGAGACAGCATGTATGTGAAGCAAAGGGGGAAGAGTCCTTTATAAAACCATCAGATCTCATGAGAAATCACTCATTATCAGAAGAACAGCATGGGGGAAACCACCCCCATGATCCAATCACCTTCTACCAAGTCTCTCCCTCAACATCTGGGGATTACAATTCAATATGAGATTTGGGTGGGGACACAAATCCTAACCATATCATGTAGCTATTAATTGCTTTTCAGATGGATAATTTACAAATATTTTCTCTCATTCTGTGGATTTTCTCTTCACTTTGTTTCTTGTTTCCTTCACTTTAAAAAGGCTTTCTGACTTTCTGTAATCCGATTTGCCCATGTTTGTTTTGGTTGTCTGTGCTTCTGGGGCATTATTTAAGGAATTTTTGCCCAAACCAATGACCTAGTTTCCCCAATGTTTTCTTGTAAAAGTTTGATGGTTTGAGGTGTTAGGTTTAAGTCTTTAATTCATTTTAATTTGATTTTTGTAAGTGGCAAGAAATAGGGTTCTAGTTTTATTCTTCTGCCTATGGCTTGCCAGTTTTCCCAGCCCTATTTATTACAAAAGCTGTCTCATTTTTTATTGTATGTTCTTGGCACTTTTGTTGAAAATTAATTTAGCTCTCCCTCCCATAGGATTCCAGAACACTGCTATGAGGGTCTGAATGTTTATCCCTTGCATGGGACTCCAGAACACTGTTGCTGGGTTCTAAACGTTTGTCACATAGGATTTCAGAACACTGCTACGAGGGTCTGAATGTTTGTTCCTCACAGGGGATTCCAGAACACTCCTGCTGTGGTCTGAAGGTTTGTCCCTCACATAGTGTAGGGGTGGGTTGCCCCTCCACACCTGTGGGTGTTTCTCGTAAGGTGGAACGAGAGACTTAGGAAAGAAAAAGACACAGAGACAAAGTATAGAGAAAGAAATAAGGGGACCCGGGGGACCAGCGTTCAGCATATGGAGGATCCCGCCAGCCTCTGAGTTCCCTTAGTATTTATTGATCATTCGTGGGTGTTTCTCCGAGAGGGGGATGTGTCAGGGTCACAAGACAATTTTGGGGAGAGGGTCAGCAAACACGTGAACAAAGGTCTTTGCATCATAGACAAGGTAAAGGATTAAGTGCTGTGCTTTTAAATATGCATACACATAAACATCTCAATGCTTTACAAAGCAGTATTGCTGCCCGCAGGTCCCACCTCCAGCCCTAAGGCGGTTTTTCCCTATCTCAGTAGATGGAACATACAATCGGGTTTTATACCGAGACATTCCATTGCCCAGGGACGGGCAGGAGACAGATGCCTTCCTCTTGTCTCAACTGCAAGAGGCATGCCTTCCTCTTATACTAATCCTCCTCAGCACAGACCCTTTACGGGTGTCGGGCTGGGGGACGGTCAGGTCTTTCCCTTCCCACGAGGCCATATTTCAGACTATCACATGGGGGGAAACCTTGGACAATACTGGCTTTCCTAGGCAGAGGTCCCTGCGGCCTTCCACAGTTTTTGTGTCCCTGGGTACTTGAGATTAGGTAGTGGTGATGACTCTTAAGGAGCGTGCTGCCTTCAAACATCTGTTTAACAAAGCACATCTTGCACCGCCCTTAATCCATTTAACTCTGAGTTGACACAGCACATGTTTCAGAGAGCACGGGGTTGGGGGTAAGGTTATAGATTAACAGAATCTCAAGGCAGAAGAATTTTTCTTAGTACAGAACAAAATGGAGTCTCCTATGTCTACTTCTTTCTACACAGACACAGTAACAATCTGATCTCTCTTGCTTTTCTGCACAACATAGGATTCCAGAGCACTGTTATGAGGGTCTGAATGTTTGTCCCTCACACAGAATGCCAGTTTTACCAGCCCTATTTATTACAAAAACTGTCTTATTTTTTATTGTATGTTCTTGGCACTTTTGTTGAAAATTAATTTAGCTGTATGAGTGTCTTTCTAAGGTCTCTATTTCGTTCTATCTGTCTTAATGTCTGTTTTTATGCTAGTGTCATGCTGTTTTAATTACTATAACTTAGTAGTATAATTTAAAACCAGGTAATGGAATTCCTCCAGTTTTGTTTTATATACTCAGCATAGCTTTGACTTTGTGATGTTTCCATATAAATTTCAGAATTTTTTTTCTATATCTGTGAGGAATGTCTTCTTCTTCTTCTTCTTTTTTTTTTTTAGATGGCGTCTTGCTCTGTCACCTAGACTGGAGTGCAGTGATGTGATCTCGGCACACTGCAACCTCCACCTCCTGGGTTCAAGCAACTTTTTGCCTCAGCCTCCTGAATAGCTGGGATTACAGGCACCTGCCACCATGCCTGGCTATTTTTTTTGTATTTTTAGTAGAGGTGGGGTTTCACCAAGTTGGCCAGGCTGGTCTGGAACTCCTGACCTCGTGATCCACCAAATTCGGCCTCCCAAAGTGCTGAGTCTACAGGCATGAGCCACTGCCCCTGGCCTGTTATTTTGATAGAGATGGAATGAAATGAATGGATTGCTATGGATTGTATGGACATTTTTAAAAAAATACTGATTCTTCCAATCTATGAACATAAAAATATCTTTCCAACTTTTGGGTCCTTTTTCATTTCTTTTATCAGTGTTTTACAGTTTTAATTGTTGAGAACTTTTATTCCTTTGGTAAATTCCCACACATTTTGTTTTATTTGTGGCTACTGCAAATAGTATTACATTTTTGAATTCTTTTTCAGTTTGTTGACTGTTGGCGTAAAGAAACCCTACTGATTTGTATATGTTGATTTTGTATTCTGCAAATTGACTCAAGTTATTACCTCTAATAGTTTTTGGTGGATGTATTAGGCCATTCTCATATTGCTATAAAAAGTAATCAGTGACTGGTTAATTTATAAAGAAAATAGGTTTAATTGGTTCATGGTTCTACAGGCTGTACAGAAAGCATAGCACTGGCTTCTGCTTCTGGGGAAGCCTCTGACAATTGACAAGGTGAAAAATAAATCCAGTGCTTGCACATCACATGGTAAGTGCGAGGGCAGGGGGGAAGTGCTACACACACTTGTAGATAACCAGCTCTGATAAAAACTTACTATTGTGGGAATGGCACCAAAGGAAATGATGCCAAACTCTTCATGGAAATCTTGCCCTCATGATTCAATCACCTCCCCTCTAGGCCCACTTCCAACATTGAGGATTATATTTCAATATAAGATTTTGGTGGGAATATACATCCAAACTGTATCATTTTGCCCCTGGCCATTCCAAATCTCATATCCTTCTCATATTTCAAAATACAATCATGACTTCCCAATAATCCCCAAAATCTTAACTAATTTCAGTCTTAACTCAAAAGTCAAAAGTCTCATCTAAGACAAAGCTAATTTCTTCCTCCTATAAGCCTGTAAAGTAAAAAAACAAGTTAGATTATTCCAAGATACAAATGAGGCAGAGGCATTGGGTAAATACTCCTATTCTAAAAGGAAGAAATCAGTCAAAAGAAAGGGGCCACAGGACCCATGAAAGTCTAAAACCCAGAAGGGCATTTATTCAATTGTAAGGCTCCAAAATAATTATTTTTGACCCTGTGTTCCATTTCCAGGGCACGCTAATGCCTTGGGAAGGTTCTACCTTGTGACTTTGCATGGTTCAGCCCCCACAGCTGCTCTCATGGGCTGGCATTCTGTGCCTCTGGCTTTTCAAGATGCAAGGTGCAGGCTGTAGCTAGATCTACCATTCTGGGGTCTGGAGGACAGTGATCCTCTCCTCACAGATCTACTAGGCCATGACCCAGTGGGGAGACTGCCTGGGGACTGTCACCCCACATTTCTTTTCTCCATTGTTTTAGTAGAGGATCTCCATGAGGGCTCCACCCCTGCAGCATGCTTCTGCCTGCACATCCTGGCTTTTTCATACATCCTTTGAAATAAAGGTGGAGGCTCCCAAGTCTCAACTACTTGCATTTGGTAAACCCACAGGCCTAACACCACATGGAAGCTACCAAGGTTATGGCTTGCACCATCTGAAGCAGTGACTGGAGTTGTAACTGGGTCAATTTGACCTATACCTGGAGCTGAAGCAGTGGCCAGGATGCAGGAGCCTTGTTCCAAAGCTACCCAAGGCAGCAGTTCCTGGGCCTGATC
>NC_000022.11:11428056-11497337 GCF_000001405.40 Homo sapiens | reverse complement strand
GATCCTTTGAGCCCAGGAGTTTGAGACCACCCTGGGAAACATGGCAAAACCCTCTGTGTACAAGAAAATACTAAAACACACCAGGTGTGGTGTCACATGCCTGTGGTCTCAGGTACTTGGGAGGCTGAGGTGGGAGGATCGCTTGAACCCAGGAAGTTGAGGCTGCAGTGAGTTGTGATTACACCAGCCTGGGTGACAGAGTGTCACCCTGTCTCAAAAAAAAAGAATATTAAAACAGATACTGTGGTTTCTATCTTTTTGGTCCTCTCATAGCAAAAACCAACAAAAGAAACTAATGTATAACCTAGCAAAATACAGCAAGAACTAGGAATTTTCTATTTCAGTGCCTTAGGCAATCTGACAGATAATGTAGTTCAATAAAAGTGTTTGCTGTACTGTGAAATGTACATTTAGATATGCAGACAGCCTCTTGACACAGACATTGCTATAGTGGTTTCTAGCATAATTTAAGGCTTTTTGTTGTTGATTAACAGTGAGATGCCATCTGCCTCAGTGTGTGCCCTAAGAAATTAAAGAGATGCCAGGAAGGAAAAGTATTAATGAGGAGTATAAAATTCTAGTTTTAAAAAACATCTTGGCCGGATGTGGTTGTTCATGCCTGTAATCCCAGCACTTTGGGAGGCTGAGGCAGGTGGATCACCTGAAGTCAGGAGTTCGAGACCATCCTGGCCAACATGATGAAACCCGGTCTCTACTAAAAATACAAAAAATTAGCTGGGCATGGTGGCGCATGTCTATAATCCCAGCTACTCGGGAGGTTGAAGCAGGATAATCACTTGAACCTAGGAGAAGGAGGTTGCAGTGAGCTGAGATTGTGCCATTGCATTTTAGCCTGGGCAATAAGAGTGAAACTCCATCTCAAAATAATAATAATAATAATAACCGCGGATTTTTGCAAGGCTACAGAGAAAAGGGAATGCCTATACACTCTTGGTAGGAATGCAAATTAGTTCAGCCACTGTGGAAAGTGGTTTGAAGATTTCTCAAAAAACAGAACTATCATTAGACCCAGAAATCCCATTACTGGGTGTATACCCAAAATAAAATAAATTATAATTATTCTACCCAAAGACACATACACTAATATGTTCACAATAGCAAAGACATGGAATCAACTTAGGTGCACATTAATGATGAATACGACAAAGAAAATGTGGCATATGTACACCATGGAATACTATGCAGCCATAAAAAAGAATTAAATAACGTTCTTTGCAGCAACATGGATGCATCTGGTGCCCATCATCCCAAGCAACTTAATGCAGAAACAGAAAACCAGCTATCACAGGTTCTCACTTATAAGTGGGAATTAAATCTTGGGTACACACAGACATAAACTTGGGAACAATAGACACTAAGGACTTCAAAGGAGGGAGGAGGGAATGGCACAAGACCTGAGAAGCTTCCTATTAGGTACTATGTTCGCTATCTGGTTGATGGGACCAATAGAAGCCCAAACTTAAGCACCATGCTATTTACTCTTAAACCAAATTTGCACATGTACCCCTGAATCTGAAATAATAAACAAAATAAAAATGTTTTATTAGTCTAAAACCTGTCAATATGACATAAAAATAATTATCAGGTTGGGCACAGTGGTTCATATCTGTAAACCCAGTTCTTTGAGAAGCCGAGGCAGGAGGATCACTTGAGGCCAGGAGTTCAAGGCCAGCCTAGTCAACACAGCAAGAGCCCATTTTTACTAAAAAGAAAAAAAGGAAAAGAAAATACTCAAAATAAAAAGCAATCGCCTTTCTTACTCCTTCTCTCTTCATTTCTACAACAGTCTTATTTTTCTAAATGACAATAATTATCAATATTAAGGTTTTGAAATTCTAGTACTTTCAATAATAAATATCAACTAATTGCATTGTTTTTAAAATCAATATTTCAAAAACAAATCAATATTTCACATGGCTATAAAAGCACAAAACATTGATTAAAGTTTAATAAAAATATGGAAATAAATTATTTCAAATAAATATAAAATTAATATAATTTAATTGAAGGAAAAACTACTTGAAAATAATTAAGGTTGTTCAGGTTCAAATCAACAAATTCCATGATCAACAATTTAAAATATTAAGGTCTGGTAAGTGATAGAATTAATGCCTAAATATGCCTAAATGACAACATTGTTAACTGATGTTTTTGTTTATTTATTTATTTATTTTTGAGATGGAGTCTTGCTCTGTAACCCAGGCTGGATTGCAGTGGCACGATCTCAGCTCAATCCAAACTCTGCCTCCCACTTTTAAGCGATTTTCCTGTCTCAGTGTCCAGAGTAGCTGGGATTATAGGAGAGCGCCACCACGCCTGGTTAATTTTGTATTTGCAGTAGAGACGGGGTTTTTCAGTGTTGGCCAGGCTGTTCTCGAACTCCTCACCTCAGGTAATCTGCCCACCTCAGTCTCCAAAAGTGCTGTGATTACAGGTGTGAGCCCCCATGCCTGTCCTGATGTTATTTAAATTTTATTTTAAAGAACAATCCCTAAGCAATTCATGGTGCTAAGTACAAATAAATCAAAAATAAAGCACATAACTTTTTTTTCTACAGGACTTCATAATTCAGTTGGGATGACAAGACTAAAAATAATAGTGATAAACTCTCTGATAGAAGGAAAAAATGAAACTAAAGGAGTGTGGAGGAATAGGTCTCTATTTTAATTTATGAGTTTTGCAACCATTTTGTAGACATGACACTTGAATTTTAAATAAGTTAAAAGGAAAAATAATTGACAACTTCCAAACCTTTCTCTCTCACCCAAATTTATTCATATGTATTATTTCTATTAATGATTATCATAAGAGAAATTAGGACTTCTAAATTAGTAAATATTGGCCGGGTGCAGTGGCTCACACCTGTAATCCCAGCACTTGGGGAGGCTGAGGCAGGTGGATCACAAAGTCAAGAGATCCAGACCATCCTGGCCAACACGGTGAAACCCCATCTCTACTAAAAATACAAAAAAAAAAAAGAAAAAAAAATAGTCGGGCGTGGTCATGGGCACCTATTGTCCCAGCTACTCGGAAGGCTGAGGCTGAAGAATCGCTTGAACCTAGGAGGTGGATGTTGCAGTGAGCCAAGATCGCGCCACTGCACTCCAGCCTGGAAACAGAGCAAGATTTCACTTCAAAAAAAAAAAAAAAAAAGGTAACATGCCTAAAAATAATAAATTCAGTTCATGCTAACAAAATAGTATTTTAAAATAAAACAAGTCCCCACATAGTTTGAAGAGTTGCAATGTTTTTACATTTTTGCAAAATGTCTGGCTTAACTGAAGACAGCTTGATACTCATATCTGCTTCTGAATTCAGTCTGTTGCAATATGTTGTTTTGACTAAGTGTGTGAAGAAAATATTGCCCTACACAGACATGAAGTTCTAGAAAGGAAGAATAATTTAAAATAATTTTTGGACGAAGTGTGGTGGTACAAGCTTCTAATCCCAGCATTTTCAGAGGCTGAGGCGGGCAGATCACTTGAGGTCAGGAGTTCGAGACCAGCCGGCCAACATGGTGAAACCCCGTCTCTACTAAAAATACAAAAATTAGCAAGCGTGGTGGTGAGTGACTGTAATCCCAGCTATTTGGGAGGCGGAGGAAGGAGAATTGCTTGAACCCAGGAGGTGGAGTTTGCAGTGAGCCAAGATTGTGTCCAGCCTGGTGACAGAGTGAAACTCCATCTCGAAAAAAAAAAATTAAGTATTTTTGGCCAACTATTGTTCTTCTTCTTTGATCTGCAAACAAATGCTTTATTCAGGTTATTGCAATGGGAGGCATGACACCACATCATATGCTTTTTCTGCTATATCACATTAAAACCTATAGGTCTATTTTCAATGTTAATGGGTCTTTTACCGATCATGATTTTTATCATATTGGCATGGCCATTGGGAAAATATTGGTTCATTGAATAATGCAGATGTTCCAAATATTGATACACTATATTATAAAATATTTTGAAATTCAGTAATATTACCCTTGATCTCCTCAGAAAAATCCGTAAGTTTTGAAAAATTGTCATGTTCAAGAATGCAGATACGTTTTCTAAATTTTAATTTTCACTTGAAAACTTTTTACATTTTCAGTAACAGCTCAGTTATTTTTCTTTAAGACAATCTCACTTTTTTTTTTTTTTCAGACAAGGTCTTGCTCTGTTGCCCAGGCTGGAGTGCAGTGGTGCAATCATAGCTCACTGCAACCTCTGCCTCCCGGGGCCAAATGATCCTCCCGCCTCAGCCTCCCCAGTAGTAGACTGTGGGCCTCAAGCCACCCAGGTGCCAAGGCAAGAGACTGAGGGCATGAGCTGTTCCAGTGTAATAAAGAAAATATATAGAAGAATACTTGTACTAGAAATAGAATATAAATGATGATATGTGAATATTAGTAATCATTAGTTTGTAGTGTTACTCTTTATTCCAATATTATAATAATCTCTGTTCCACGACTATAACCTAGGAAAAACCAGGCCATACAGAGATAGGAGCTGAAGGGACATGGTGAGAAGTGACTAGAAGACAAGAGTATGAGCCCTCTGTCACTCCCAGACACGACCACCAGAGGGCTCCCTCGTCTAGCGGTAACGCCAGCGCCTGGGAAGGCACCGGTTACTTAGCAGACCTTGGTCTAGCGGTAGCGCTAGTGCCTGGGAAGGCACCGGTTACTTAGCAGACCGGGAAAGCGAGTCTCCCTTTCCCCGGGGTAGTTAGAGAAGACTCTGCTCCACCACCTCTTGTGGAAGGCGACATCAGTCAAGCTCGCCCGCAGCCATCCGGAGGCCTGTCTCCCTGTGATGCTGTGCTTCAGCGGTCAGGCTCCTGGTCTGCTTTCATGTTCCACCCTCTGCACCTGGCTTGGCCTTCTAGATAGCAGTAGCGGAATTAGTGAAAGTACTAAAAGTCTTTGGAATGCACAGACGGAATAATGGCGTAAGCTGTCCTCTCTCTCTCTCCGCCTCGGCTGCCAAACAAGGAAGGTCCCCCGACTGGTGGACAAGAGACCCACGTGACCTTACCTATCATTGGAGATGGCTCACACTCCTTACCCTGCCCCCTTGCCTTGTATTCAATAAATAACAGTTTGGCCAGGCATTCGGGGCCATTACCAGTCTCCACATCTTGGTGGCAGTGGTCCCCCGGGCCCAACTGTGTTTTCTTCTATCTCTTTGTCCTGTGTCTTTATTTCTATGATCTCTCATCTCTGCACACGGTGAGGAAAACCCAAAGACCCTGTAGGGCTCATCCCTACAGTAGACTACAGGCTTACATCATCACCCCTGGCTAACATTTTTTTGTAGAGATTGGGTTTCACCATGTTGCTCCAACTGGTCACAAACTCTTGAGCTCCAAAAGTGCTGGGATTACAGGCATGAGCCACTGCACCCTGTCACACTTAGTTCATTTTTAAGTAATAAGTGCTCTATGAGTTCTTACCATTTTATCAAATAGAATACTGAAAAGACATACTTGGGGATCTAGATTTAATGAAAATGTTATTTTTTACTGCTTCATCAATGATATTCTTAAGTAACATGAAAATAAAATTGGCCTGTTTACTTATTTAGGCAACCAAGTGACTGTAAATAATAGAACTGCTACTATTATTTGGAGCCGCTGTCTTGTTTTTGCTACGGTTTTACTTACTACTGCTTTTGCACCAAAGCAGAGAACAAAAAAAGCGAAAAATACAAGTAACATAGCTGTATTATGATAGAAAGAGTCTTATTTTCATGGAGCACTCTGAGATCCACTGTTCCAGATATAGTTCTCTCCCAGACCCATCACCTGTTCTGTCACAAAGTTTTATTAATTCTACTTCTTAAGTATTCTACTCACTGCTTCCTCTCCACAACTTTATGACTCAGTGAAACCCTCACTCTCTCTCACCTGAAATATTTCCTTTTTCCATCATGTTTCCATCAGCCTGCACTCCTCTACTCAGTGAAAACCTCACCCTCTCTCATCTGAAATATTTCCATTTTCCATCATGTTTCCATCAGCCTGCACTCCTCTTACTTCCCGTTATCTTGTTTGCTTCCAGACTAACATCTCTAGACAGGTAACTGTGTTCCTCAAGGGCTTAAAATCACTTAACAACAGTTTAAAACTTAGGTTCTCACTCTTTAGCAAGGACTTGAAGACTTTTAATGATTCAGCTCCTGCTCACAAATCTAACCTCATTTTTTCCCACATCAACACTGAACAGAAACTAAGTTCCACTCATATATAAAATCTTTCAATTTTCTGGAATAAAAAAGATTACGTAGCTGTCACCCATAATCTGACTCCAGAACTCTGTTTCTGCACCTTCCTATCAAACTCATAATAAGTCTCCGTATTAGTCTGTTCTCATGCTGCTAATATGGACATGACCAAGACTGGGTAATTTATAAAGAAAAATAAGTTTAATGGATTCACAGTGCCACTTGGCTGGGGAGACCTCACAGTCATGGCAGAAGGCAAAGGTCAGGTCTTACACAGCAGCAGACAAGAGAAAGCATGTGCAGGGGAACTTCCTTGCATACAACCATCAGATCTCATGAGACTTATTAACTATCATAAGAACAGCACAATCCTCATGATTCAATTACCTCCCACTAGGTCCCTCCCACAATACGTGGGAATTATGGGAACAACAATTCGAGATTTGGGTGAGGACACAGCCAAACCATATCAGTCTCATAATAACGACCAAAGGCCAAGCCTTCCCTAAGTCGTCCTTAAGAGACTCATGTAGATTTCATAATTTGCTCCCAGTTGGGCCTTTTCTCAAGACCTTGACATTTTGATCTGGACTCAGATGACTTTGTGGCTCATTATGAATTCCATTTGTGTTCTTACACTGGTTTCAGTAAGATAGCTACACTTTCATCAATTTGTGTCATTATTTATTAATTCTTTGCAAAACTGGACTTCAAAATAGGATTTTAAAAAATGTTTTGACCGTGTGCTCTTCACAATGAAGATCACTAGGTGTTTGTTATGTGATTCTTTCTTTCCTATCATATGGGAGAAAATAGGATTGGGCTGTGTGCCCTGAGAGGGAGGGCACATTTAGATATTTTAGGAGTTGTAAAAAGAAGACCAAATATCAGAGAGAGAGACTTCGCTTAACCTGTAGTTCAAATGGTTTGTTAGGACAGGTACAGTGGCTCATGCCTGTAATTCCAGCACTTTGGGAGGTTGAGGCAGGTGGATCACTTGGGCTCATGAGTTCAAGACCAGACTGAGCAACATGGTGAAACCCTGTCTCTACAAAAAATAGAAAAACTAGCCAGGCATGGTGATGCACAGTATTATGAGGTTGCACTTCACTGAAAAAACAAAGTTGTTTAGCACTTCCATGTGAACCACACCATCTCACAACTATGAGGTGTAGCTGAAGTCCAGTCCCAAGGACACAAAGAAGACACACCATGTTAATGGAATGACACACTGCAGTGTATCTAGATAAGAGATCCTGGGCCTTGATGAGAGAGATAGACGCAATCTTGAAGGAACTGATTATGCAGTGATTCTGCGTTTAAATATTTGACCTAATTTTAATGACAAAAATGCATGCACCTTTCATTTTCAAAGTACAGTTGTTCCTCAGTATCCATGGGAAATCAGCTCCAGAATACTCCCACAGATACCAAAATCCACTGATGCTCAAGTCTTACATAAAATGGTATATTTGCATATAACCCATGCTTATCCTTCCATATGCAGTCATGTGTCTCATAATGACCTTTTAATCAATAATGAACCATGTATATTACCATGGCCCCTTAAGATTATAAACACATATAGAAACCTTCTTGCAGGAAGTCAGAGATCCCGAATGGAGGGACTGGTGGGAACCATGTCAGAAGAACATAAATTGTGAAGATTTCATGGACATTTATTAATACTTTTATAATTAATATTTTTATAATTTCTTATCCCTGTCTTACTTTAATCTAATCCCATCATCTTCATAAGCTGATGATGTATGTCGCCTCAAGACCCTGTGATGATTGTGTTAAGTGTACAAATTGTCTGTAAAACGTGTGTTCAAACAATATCAAATCTGATTGTAAAACATGGGTGTTTGAACAATATGAAATCAGTGCACCCTGAAAAAGAACAGAATAACAGCGATTTTCAGGGAACAAGGGAAGATAACCATAAGGTCTGACTGCCTGCGGGGTCGGGCAGAATACAGCCATATTTTTCTTCTTGCAGAGAGCCTATAGATGGACGTGTGAATAAGAGAATATCACTGAATTCTTTTCTCAGCAAGGAATATTAATAATTAATACCCTGGGAAAGGAATGCATTCCCGGGGGTAGGTCTATAGACGGCCGCTCTGGGAGTATCTGTCTTATGCAGTTGAAATAAGGACTGAAATACACCCTGGTCTCCTGCAGTACCCTCAGGCTTGCTAGGATTGGGAAATTCCAGCCTGGTGAATTCTAGTCAGACTGGTCTGTGCTCTTGAACCTTGTTTCCTGTTAAGATGTTTATCAAGACAATGTGTGCACAGTGTGACACAGACCCTCATCAGTGGTTCTAATTTTGCCTTCACCTTGTGATCTTTATGGCCCTTTGAAGCATGTGACCCTTGTGACCTACTCCCTGTTCGTAAACCCCCTCCCCTTTCAAAATCCCTAATAAAAACTGGCTGGTTTTGCAGCTCAAGGTCACCATCATGGTCCTACCAATGTGATGACACCCCCAGAGGCCTAGATGTAAAATTTCTTTATTTGTACCCTTTATTTCTCAGACCAGCAAACACTTAGGGAAAATAGAAAGAACCTACGTTGAAATATTGGGGGCTGGTTCCCCCGATAAAAACTGATATGCGGGACTTGATACTAGCACTGCAGATCAAGTAGGGAAAGTGACTGATATTCAATTACGGTGCTAGAACATATGGTTTCTCATGTGAAAAAATATAAACATATATACCATCTAGGGTTATAAAAGTACACTTTATGATGTTCACAAAACAAAAATATTGCTTAGTAATGCATGTCTCAGAACATACACATGTCATTAAGCCATGCATGACTGTACTTTATATCATCTCTGGAACACTTCGGTCAATCAGGAAACACGACCGAGACAAATCTCGATCATTTTAAGAGGTTTATTTGCCAACGTTAAGGATGCACACCCAGGAGACAGGTCTATGCCTTTCTTCAAAAATGATTATGAGGGCTCCAAATTTAAAGGGGAAAGGGTGAAATATTGAGAAATACAGTTTTCATGTAAGATTGGGGTAGGGGGAAAACATTCATTGATACTGTTTGGCTCTGTGTCCCCACACAAATCTCACCATAAATTGTAATAATCCTCATGTGTCAAGGGTGGGACCAAGTGGAAGTAATTGGATCATCAGGGCAGTTTCCTCTTTGCTGTTCTCATGATAATGAGTCACATGAGATCTGATGGTTTTGTAAGTGTCTGGTATTTCCCGTGCTTGCACTCATTGTCTCTCCTGCCCCCCTGTGAAGAGATGCTCTCTGCCATTATTGTAAGTTTCCTGAGGCCTCTCCAGCCATGCAGAGCTGTGAGTCAATTAAACCTCTTTCCTTTATAAATGACCCAGTCTTGAGTATTTCTTCAGAGCAGTATGAGAACAGACTGATACAGTCATTCATGCCTTTGTCTCAGTGAATCTGCATTTATACATAACATAGACAAACAGGGAGGGGGAACAATCAGATATGCATTTGTGTCAGGAGGGCAGAGGGGTGAGAATAGACTGATACAGTCATCCATGTCTTTGGCTCAGTGAATCTGCGTTTATACATAACATAGACAAACAGGGAGGGGAACAATCAGATATGCATGTGTGTCAGGTGGGCAGAGGGGTGAGAACAGACTGATACAGTCATCCATGTCTTTGGCTCAGTGAATCTGCATTTATACATAACATAGACAAACAGGGAGGGGAACAATCAGATATGCATTTGTGTCAGGTGGGCAGAGGGATGACTCTGAGTTCTGTCCTATGCATTGTAAAGATGAGATATCAAACCAGGCACAGCAGCTCACATCTGTAATCCCAGCACTCTAAGAGGCTGAGGTGGGTGGATCACCTGAGGTCTGGAGTTCAAGACCAGCCTGACCAACATGGAGAAACCCTGTCTCTACTAAAAATACAAAATTAGCCAAGTGTGGTGGTTCATGCCTGTAATCCCAACTACACAGGAGGCTGAGGCAGGAGAATCACTTGAACCCGGGAGGCAGAGGTTGCGGTGAGCCGAGATTGTGCCATTGCACTCCAGCCTGGGTGACAATAGTGAAACTCCATCTCAAAAAAAAAAAGAATAAAAGGGATAAGCTATTGATTTACGTTGCCATGATGAATTTTAACAGAAACACTTTAAAGATCTTAAAGCACACCAGAAATTTCCTTGTGGGAAAAATATGAGCTTTTTATCTTGTAGTCATCTTATTTAGGTACAAAAGGAGGAGGCAGGTTTGCATGACTGAGTTCCCAGCTTGACTTTTCCCTTTAGCTTAATGAGTTGGAGTCCCAATCTTTATTTTCCTTTCACACTTAGAAGACCAAATACAATGTGGATGTAAATAGTTGTGTTGTTTAGCAAGTAATGACAAGAAAAAGTCTGAATATGTTCACTACAGATGCAAGCGTCTGATTTTATTTCAAATATTTTGCATCCAAGTTTGTTTACATACACAGATATTAAACCTACAGATACAAAAAGCTGAGTGTACTTACAAATTAGTAGCTCTACACAGGAAGCATAAAATTCTCTTTGTACATGCCAAAAACATTCTGTGTCCACCCAGGGTGAACACAGCCTCTTCACAAACAGGGTGTAAATAAGGAGGTTCACTAAGTACAGGAAAGTTACATGACCATATTGGCATTTTAACAGCCATTCCTGAGAAAGAGAATGGGAAAGGGCTTAAGAGTCAGAGGAGAGGAAAAGAGAAAGACAGATGACCTCCTACATCAGAAGATGGAGCAGTGAGAATACAGAATAGGGAAGCAATAGTTAAAAGGAAAACAAGTAGAAACAGGATTTGATGTCAATTTGCTGTGCAGTGGGTAAAAAGGGGAGTTTTATTTCCAGGCTATCTGCCATGATTACAGCTAGTTTGTTACTGGTGATGTGAAATTTGGAAAAATAAAAGAACAATATGATGGCCAGAAGTGATACAGACTTGGACACGTCATGTTGGAAATATCTGAGGTCCCATATGTAGGGATGCCCAACTGGCAATTGGGAATACAGTTCCAGAGTTCACAAGAGAGATCAAAGCTGGAGATAAAGATTTTGAAACTATCAGAATTTCAATGGTACCTGAATACATCAGACCAAATGAACCTAAGAGAATGAAAGGATAAAAAGGAACAAGTACAGAATCCACAGAATCCCTAATATTTACAAAGAGAAATAAACTGTTAAGACCAAGAAGGATCTTTCTGAGTTTATTTCACAAATTAAGAAAAGCTCAATATTAGAAAGTCTACTAATACAATTCATCATATTCAGAGTCCTGAGGAGAAAAATCCTTTAATTGTCCACATAGGCATTAAGAAGAAAAGTCTTAGAAACAGATTCCAGGTTCTGATTTCTGCATGTAAGAAGCTTAGAAGTGGCCAGGTGCAGTGGCTCATGCCTGTAATCCCAGCACTTTGGGAGACCAAGGTGGGCAGATCACCTGAAGTCAGAAGTTCAAGACCAGCCTGGTCAACATGGCAAACCCCCATCTCTACTAAAAATAAAAAAAAATTAGGCTGGGCGCAGAGGCTCACACCTGTAACCCCAGCACTTTGGGAGCTTGAGGTGGGTGGATCACCTGAAATCAGGAGTTTGAGACCAACCTGACCAACATGGCAAAACCGAACCTCTACTAAAAATACAAAAATTATCGAAGTTTGATGGTGTTTGCCAGTAGTACCAGCTACTTGGGAGGCTGAGGCAGAATAATTGCTTGAACCTGGGAGGTGGAGGTTGCAGTAAGCCAAGATCAAGCCACTGTACTACAGCCTGGATGACAGAGTGAGCTCTGCCTCAAAAAATTAAAAAATGAAATAATAATAATACAAAAATTAGCCAGCATGGTGGTGGGTGCCTGTAATCCCAGCTACTCAGGAGGCTGAGGCAGGGAGAATCACTTGAACCTGGGAGCCAGATGTTGTAGTGAACTGAGATTGCACGACTGCACTCCAGCCTGAGCAACAAGGTGAGACTCCATCTCAAAAAAAGGAAAAAAAAAAGAATGGAAGTAATCAGTCCATCTTAACACATGAAAAGCTGAAAAGGTCAGGTGTGGCGGCTCATGCCTATCATCCCAGCACTTTGGGAGGCCAAAGCAGGAGGTTCCCTTGAGTCTAGGAGTTTGAGACCAACCTGGGCAACATAGTGAGACCCCCAACTCTAAAAAAGTTTTTTTTAATAAAACAAATAAAAGCTGAAGAGACTGAAAAATCTACAATCCTTTTTGGATTTGAATGTGAAGAGAGGACATAGGGCAAGCCACTGCCCCCAAGATTGGAGAGATAGAGAAGTGAATATAGGAATTTATGGCTTACAGGAACAGAGACTCACTACTGAAACCACCTTAGGAACCAGTGCTGGAGTAGAAAATCTTGAACAATAACTGGTGAATTGCTGAAGGTTCCATATGGACAACACAAGGAGGTAAAAACGCCAGGGATATCCAGGTATGAGGGAGCATAATATTGTAAAATTTACCTCCTGGAGCTTCACCAGGCTCCTGTGGCAAACACCTGAGAAAACTCGCTTCCTGCTTCCACCTTTGGGAAGGAAAAAGGAAAACCATCTTAAAATATGCCAGAGCACCCTGTTCTTAACAAGGCTTGTCCTCAGGAGAAATTACTGAACCTCAGCCTAACTTGCTCTCATATAATCAGATCCTAAATGACCTGCTGGAAGGGAAATAACGAACTCCAGCCTACTACACTCATCCCTAAAGGGGAAGATAAAAACAGAGAAACACATGTGAAGTTCATAGTCCAAAAGCAGATACTCCCTTAAACAATGAGGCCCAATCGTAAGACTCCAGAACACTTCTGCTATGGTCTGAATATTTGTTTCCTGCCCGACCCCTTGCAAAATGTGCCTGTTGAAACCAAGTCTCCAATGCACTAGAATTAAGGGGTGGGGCCTTTGAAATGTAATGGCAAAGCCATCCTGATTGGGATTAGTGCACTTATGAAAGAGGCCAAAGGAAGCTTCTTTGTCCATTCCAACATGAGAGGACATATAGCTGGCACCATCTATGAGGAATGAGTCGCATCAAACACTGAATCTCTTGGAACCTTGACTTTGGACTTTCTAGCCTCCAAACTGAGCAACAAATTTCTGTTGTTTACAAATTACTTGCTCTAAGTTATGCTGGTGGATGGACTAAGACAGCTTCCCCTCCCCTCCATAGCTTCCCATCATTACAGGATGCAGTGTCACAGTAGTTCCTTTTACCTGGTATCTCATATCTAGGAATAAAGAAAAAGCACAAGGCATACTAAAAGGCAAAAATCACAATTTGAAGTGACAGATCATCAGAACAAGACATAGCTATGATGCTGGAATTATCAGACAGGGATTTTTAAAAATATCTCTAAGTAGTATGCTAAGGGCTCTGATGAACAAAGGAGACAGCATTCAAGAACAGATAGGCAATGTAAGCAGAGAGACAGAAGTCCAAGGAAAGAACAAAAAAGAAACAGTAGAGATAAAAAAATACTGCAACAGACCTGAAGAATGTCTTTGATTGGCTTACTAGTAGGCTGAACACAACAAAGGAAAGAGTCTGTGAGCTCTGGAAATGTGAAAGAAACTTTAAAAACTGAAAACAATGGAACATAATATCCAAGAACAGTGGGACAGTTACAAAAGGTGTAACATAGAGTGATGAGAATACCAGAAGGAGGAGAGAGAAATAGAAGAAACATCGGCAACAATCATGTTTGACAACTTCCACTGTTAATGTCAGACACCAAATCAAAGATCCAGGAAGCTCAGAGCACACCAGACAGTGTACATGCTAAAAACCTACACCTAGGCATATTATTCTCCAACTGTATAAAACATCAACTGCAAAAGAGACCAAAGGTGGAGTGGACAACATCTTACCTATAGAGAAACAAAGAAACAAAGGTAGAGAAACAAAGAAACAAAGGTAGAGAAACAAAGAAACCTATAGACAAACAAACAAAAATCACATTCAGGCCAGGCTTTGTGGCTCATGCCTGTAATCCCAGTACTGTGGGAGGCCAAGTTGGGTGGATCACGAGGTCAGAAGATTGAGACCATCCTGGCTAACATGGTGAAACCCCATCTCCACAAAAAATACAAAAAATTAGCCAGGCGTGGTGGCAGGAGCCTGTAGTCCTAGCTACTCGGGAGACTGAGGCAGGAGAATGGTGTGAACCTGGGAGGCAGAACTTGCAGTGAGCCGAGATTACACCACTGCACTCCAGCCTGGGTGACAGAGTGAGACTCTGTCTCAAAAAAAAAAATTACATTCAACATCTCAGAACCATGAAAGTAAAGAGAGTGGAATGAAATATTAAGCATGCTGAGAGAAAAAAAATCAAATTAGATTTCAGTGCCCTGTGAGATCTTCTTTCAAAAGTAAATGAGAAATAAAGCATTCCTTGGACAAACAAAAGTTGAGGAAACTTGTTACCAGCAAATGTGTTATGTGAGAATATGTTAAACATTATCTAGACAAAAAAAAAGATACACATCTGAAAACTGAATCTACATTTCATTTATTTTTATTTATTTATTTTGAGACTGAGTCTCGCTCTGTTGCCCAGGCTGGAGTGCAGTGGCACAATCTCGGCTCACTGCAACCTCAGCCTCCCAGGTTCAAGCAATTCTCTGCCTCAACCCCCCAAGTAGCTGGGATTACAGGAGCCCTCCACCACGCCTGGCTAATTTTTTTGTATTTTTATTGGAGACAGTGTTTCACCATCTCTGCCAGGCTGGTATTGAACTCCTAACTTCGTGATCCACACATCTCGACCTCCCAAAGTGCTGGGATTACAGGTGTGAGCCACTACACCCGCCTGAATTTACATTTTAAAAAGAACATTAGAGAAGGAATAAGTGGTGGTAAAATCCCTTTTTTTTTTTTTTTTTTTTTTGAGATGGAGTCTCATTCTGTCACCCAGGCTGAAGTGCAGTAGTGTGATCTTGGCTCACTGCAAGCTCTGCCTTCTAGGTTCATGCCATTCTCCTGCCTCAGCCTCCCGAGTAGCTGGGACTACAGGCACCCACCACCACGCCTGGCTAATTTTGTTTTCGTGTTTTTAGTAAACACAGGATTTCACCATGTTAGCTAGGATGGTCTCAGTTTTCTGACCTTGTGATCTGCCCACCTCGGCCTCCCAAAGTGCTGGGATTACAGGCATAAGCCACCGTATCCGGCTGCTTACTTTTTATTCTTAATTCACCTAACATATAACAGTTTGTATATAATAACAATGTATGCAATTATATACTTTTTTTTCAGACGGAGCCTTGCTCTGTCGCCCAGGCTGGAGTGCAGTGGTGCAATCTCAGCTCACTGCAACCTCCACCTCCTCCCTGGTTCAAGCAATTCTCCTGTCTCAGCCTCCTGAATAGCTGGGACTACATGCGTGTGCCACCATTACCAGCTAATTTTTGTATTTTTAGTAAAGATGGGGTTTCACTGTGTTAGCAAGGAGGGTCTCCATCTCCTGACCTCATGGTCCACCTGCGTCGGCCTCCCAAAGTGTTGGGATTACAGGCGTGAGCCAAGGCACCCAGCCAATTACATACTTTAATATATACAAGGCTATGTATGCTTACATATAAGTGAAACAAATGGCAACAATAACACAAGAGATGGGAATATGAGAGAAGCTGGTATTACATTTCTATTAGAAGGCCGTCAAAGTAACTGAACTAGTATAGTGTTATTTGAAGGTGGACTTGGATTTGTTGCAAGTCTATACTGCAAACTCCAGGGCAACTAGTAAAAACCAAAGTATAAAAATACTAAAAAGAGGAAACAGGCCAGGTATAGTGGCTTATGCCAAGGTAGAAAGATGGCTTGAGTCCAGGAGTTAGAGACTATCCTGAGCAACACAGTGAGACCCTGTCCCTACAGAAAAGGCCAGGTATTGTGGTGCATACTTGTAGTCTAGCTAATTGCATATTTGTAGTCCTAGCTAATTGCATACTTGTAGTCTTAGCTAATGACTTACTTGTAGTCCTACCTAATTGCATACTTGTAGTCCTAGTTAATTGCATACTTGTAGTCCTAGTTAATTGCATATTTGTAGTCCTAGTTAATTGCATACCTGTAGTCCTAGTTAATTGCATACTTGTAGTCCTAGCTAGTTGGGAGGCTGAGGTGGAAAGATCACTTAAACCCACGAGGTTGAGTCTGCAGGGAGCCATGACCACACGACTGCACTCCAGCCTGGGTGAATGCTGTTTCAATTTTAAAAAAAAAGTAATGAGAGGAAATAAAAATCATATAAAATCATCAACTCCATAAAAGGCAGAAAAAGAGTGGAGGACAAAGCAAGAACAAAGAACAATAGGAGTGAATGGAAAATGATATGGCAAAATTAACCCAACTGTATAATCACTTTGAATGTCATGGTCTAAATGCACCAATGAAAAGACTAGTGGTTAAAGCCCATCAAAATAGAGGCACACCTCACTTTATCGAGCTTCACTTTATTTTGCTTGGTAACATCACCTTTTTAACAAATTAAAGATTTGTGGCCACAAAGTGTTCAGCAAGTCTGACCAGCACCATTTTTCCAACACCGTGTGCTCACTTCACATCTGTGTCACATCTTTTGGCAATCTCCACAATCTTTCAAACATTTTAGTTATCACATCCGTTATGATGATCTGTGATCAGTGATTTCTGGTGTTACTATTGGAATTGTCTCAGTGTGCTGGAACTCTATGGAAGACAGTAAACACGATGGAAAAGTGTTGTGTTTGACTGCTTCATTGGCTAGTCATTTCCCTATCTCCATTTCTCTCTTCCAGCCCCCCATTCCCCAAGATACAACAATGAAATTAGGCCACTTCACCCTGCAGTGGCCACCATGTGTTCAAATGAAAAGAAGTGTGCACATCTGTCACTTCAAATTATCAAGCTTAGTGAAGAAAGCATGTTGGAAGCTAAGACAGGCCAAAGCTAAGCTTCTTGCATGAGCTACCCAAGTTGTGAATGTAAAGAAAAAGTTCTTGAAGGAAGTTATAGGTGCTACTCCAGTGAACACATGAATAATTTTTAAAAAACAAAACAGCCTTTTTACTGACACAGAGAAAGTCTGAGTGGTCTGCATAGAAGATCAAACCAGCCCCAACATTCCCCTGAGACAAAGCCTAATCCTGAGAAAGGCCCTAACTCTCTTCAATTCTATGGAGGAGAACAGAGGTGAGGAAGTTTCAGAAGAAATGTTTGAAGCTGGCAGAGGTTGGTACATGAACTTCTAGGAAAACAGCCATATCTGTGACATTAAAGTGCGAAGTATGCTGTAAAAATGGGAACAAGAAAGCCTGCATGATAGCACTTCTGTTACAGCATTGTTAAGACCTTCTTGTTGGTAGGCCAGGAAGTAATGGTCACAATTTTTGTCCATATTATCCTAGACTGAGCATGGAGAAATCTATAATAGTAGCCAGAGAGGTGTACATTGTGTGTTCAAGGGAAAAAAAGTGATTTTGAGGGAATGCATAGCCTGCCTCAGCTACATCAGATTTCTCTCCTATATGGGTTTGTTGATGCCTGCTGAGGTGTGACTTCTGGCAAAAGGTTTTCCCACATTCCTTACATTCATAAGGTTTTTCTCCTGTGTGTGTTCTCTGATGTATACTGAGGCCTGACTTCTGGGAGAAAATTTTCCTACATTCATTACATCTAAAGGGTTTTTCCTCTGTGTGAGTTCTGTGCTGTACAAAGGGTTTTGACTCCTGGGAGAAGGTTTTCTTACATTCAAATGACTTCTCACCTGTGTGAATTCTCTGATGTATGGTGAGAACTGCCTTATGGTAAAAAGTTTTCCTACATTCATCACATTCACAGGGTTTCTCTCTCCTGAGTGAATTCCCTGATGCATATTGAGGTTTGACTTGTGACAAAAGGTTTTCCCACACTCATTACATTCGTAAGGCTTTTCTCCAGTATGGGTTCTATGATGGACAGTGAGGACTGACTTCTGACTGAAGGTTTTTCCACATTCGCTACATTCATAGGGTTTCTCCCCTGTGTGAATATCTGGATGCTTACGAAGATTTGCCTTCTGATGAAAGGATTTTCCACATTCATTACATTCATAGGGCTTTTCCCCAGTGTGAGTTCTCTGATGTATAATAAGGTATGATTTCTGACAAAAAGTTTTTCCACATTGGTTACATCCATACTGTTTCTCCCCTGTGTGAGTTCTCTGGTGTACGGTGAGGAATGACTTGCGATGAAAGGTTTTTCCACATTCATTTCATATGTAAGGTTTCTCCCCTGTGTGAGTTCCCTGATGTGTGCTGAGATTTGACTTCTGACGAACGGTTTTCCCACATTCATCACATTAATTGGGTCTTTCCCCTGTGTGAGTTCTCTTGTGTATCCCAAGGTTTAACTTATTGATAAAGGTTTTCTCACATTCATTACATTCATAGGGTTTTTTGCTAGCATGAGTTCTCTGATGTATAGTTAGAAATGACTTATAACTTACAGTAAAAGGATTTTCCACATTCATTACTTTCATAGGGTTTTTCCCCTGTGTGAGTTCTGTGAGGTACTGTAAGTTATGACTTGTGGCTATATGTTTTTCCACATTTGTTACATGCATATGGTTTTTCCCCAGTATGAGTTTTCTGATGGACAGTGAGGAATGACTTACAGTGAAAGGTTTTCCCACGTTCATTGCATTCGTAGGGTTTTTTGCCTGTGTTAGTCCTTTGATGGACAGTGAGGAACGACTTTTGGTGAAACGTTTTCCCACATTCATTGCATTCATAGGGTTTTTCTAATGTGAGTTCTCTGATGTATCCTGAGGTTTGACTTATTGATAAAGGGTTTTCTACACTCATTATATTCATAGGGCTTTTCCCCTGTGTGTGTTCTCTGATGGACAGTAAGCTTTGACTTATGGCTAAATGCTTTTTCACAATGGTCACATGCATAGGGCTTTTGCCAGGTGTGAGTTCTATGATGTATTGTGAGGTATGACTTCTGGCTAAAGGTTTTTCCACATTCACTACACTGATAGGGCTTTTCCCCTGAGTGAGTTCTGTGATGTAAAGTGAGAAGTGATTTACAGTGAAGTTTTTCCACATTCAATACATTTGTAGGGCTTATCCCCAGTGTGAGTTCTCTGATGTAAAGTGAGGAATGACTTACAGCGAACGGTTTTTCCACATTCATTGCATCCATAGGGCTTTTCCCCTGTGTGAATTCTCTGATGGATAGTGAGGCTGGACTTATAGCTGAACAATTTTTCACAGCAGTTACAGGCATAAGGTTTTTCCTCAGTAGGCATCTTGTGCTGTATCATGAGGTCTGATTTGCTAATGGAGGGTTTCTCACATTCAACACATTCATGGGGTTTCTCTCCTGTGTGTGTTTGCTGATGTTTACTGAAGTCAGACTTTCTACAGCAAGTTGGCTGTCTTACCTGAGTTATCCCTTGGACAATAATAGCTAAGTTATTACAGGCTTTCTCATATTCATTATATTTACCAAAGGTCTGTCCTATATGAACCTTCTTATGTATAAAGAACATTGCCTCCATGTTGAAGGTTTTCCCTTGTTCATTACATTGAAAAGGCTGCAGCAGAGTTTGAATCTTGTGATGCTGAGTAAGATGTTCATGATGTCTGTGGGATCTCCTGGTTATATCAGGGACATGAGGTTTCTCTCTAGACTGTGTCTCACCAGGCTTAATAGGGAAAAGCACGTTCTGGCAAACATTAAACTGCCCAGGCTTCACTCCTGAACTGTTTCCATTATTTATAATCAGATTTAAAACATGGTTTGAGTTAAAATTAAATGTTTTTCCTAATTCAACTCTCTCCTGAGTTGATGTGTTGCTGTTGGTGATTACAATTTGCCAGAAAAATCTATCATGACTTTCATGGCTCCTTTCAATAAGGTCATCAGTGATTTGGACAGCTGAAATGAGAAAAACGTATCCATGAACCACACAGGAGCATGTCTTACAGAATGCTTGTGTAAAGGTGAAAAAAATTACTTCCTATCCCAGTGGAGTAAGATTTGATAAAAATTAATAATGGGTATTGGTTTTATATGCATATGGTTCCTGTTCCTTCTGACATCATGTAATAAATCAGTATATTTTCTAATGTTCAATTGAGTTTTTCTTTGCAATTTGAAGTTTTCCTTTTCTTTTTTATTTCATAAAGAATTATTTGGTAATAATATGCATCTACTTACTACTCATAGGTTTTAATAAGTGCTCATTATCTGTCATTTGTTTTCTCTCTTTTTTTCTATTTATTCATATAACAATAGTGGCTGTTTTAATAGTTGCTATTTTTTCATCATTCTTCTTTGAAGATAGCCAGTTTTTCTTGGGTCAGCAACTGGCAGGTACAGGAGATGGCCATTTTTCTGTCTCCTAAGCATGGAAGTAGCTTGTAGACAGGATTTTGCCTATATGTTAACTTTTCACTCCTCCCTGAGAATGGTTAAATGTGTCTGGAGGTTTTCCAAGCAGAAAATATCTTATTCCCCATGTTAAACATAAACAGATCCTGGCAAATTCCTACTTAAACATGGCATCTCCTGCTTCCCAGAACCATAATAGGCAAAGAAGCTCCAGTCAAAAAACCACACTAGTGATCTGAAGGATTGGTTCTGCAACTCAGTCTGTGCCCGTCATCTTTGAAAAGTGTATTTCTGGTTCCTTCTGAGATCAACAGCTCTGTCCCTCTCCACTCACACACCCCTGCTTAATAATTCACCATTTTTGAAGGGTTTTATTTTGTGTTTTGGAGTTTCAGATGTCACACAGCTATATATAAAAATGAAGTTTCCTGTACATTTCTCATCTTCAAATGGTAACTACAAACTCCACTCTCAAACAGAAATCTGAGCCCTTCAACAGGAAATCATTGGTTTCTTTGGACTTGAGACCCAGAATCTTCTGGTTCTCCTCCCAAGTCCAGCACCACCCCTATCCAGGCCCCTATGATGGGTTCTCCTCAGCTTCATAATTTCTTTCTGAGACAGGATCTTACTCTGTTACCCAGGCTGGAGTGCAGTGTTGCTATCATAGGTCACTGAAGCTTCAAGCTCCTGAGCTCAAGCAATCCTTCCACCTCAGCCTCCCAAGTATAAAAACTGGGATTACAAACCCATGTCACCATACTCAGCTACTATTGTGTGTGTGTGTGTGTGGGTGGGAGTCTAAAAGGATCAATTAAGGCCAGAAGTTCGAGACCAGCCTGGGCAATAGAACAAGACCTCATCTCCACAAACAATAAAAAATTAGCCAGGTGTGGTGGCACACACCTGTAGTCCTAGCTACTTGGGAGGCTAGGCTGTGAGGAACACTTGATCCCAGGAGTTCATCGTTACGGTCAACTATAATCATGCCACTGCACTTGAGTCTGAGAAACAGAGTGAGAACCATCTGTTTAATAAAAAATAAAACAAGAAGAATAAAGCTACAGCTTAAAAAGAAACACTATTTTCATCATCATTGTTATAATGACTGATTCTCAAAAATTGCTTAAGATACATTCAAAGGATAAATAAATGCATAAATGTCTAAAAAAATTTTTTAAGACACTACATCAGAATAGAGGAAAAGGGGGAAATAGAGAAAATAAATAGCAAAGAAAAAGGCCTAAAGAGAGGATGGCAGGGATTGGATTTGGGGTAAATAGAAGAAGATACTCAGAAAAATAAGAGACTGGGATATATGCATGACAGTTACCCCTGGGGACGATATAATGGACATTTAATGCAGACCAACAGTCTTCAGGTCGAAGACCTAGGGAAAAAAGTGGTGAAAACAAGATAACACTACCAAAATCTGCTGGGCATTACTCCTCCAGGCCTCCCACCCCAGTATTCACTGACTGACCTGAAAGTCTCAGGTTTGGTATTTCTTCTACTATCCATGTCTCTGCTCCTTGCTCTAGCTTGAAGATCATCTCAGGTTTGGTAATGCAATGCCCTGGTAACGAGAAACAAGGGAATACTTTGTCAAACCACTAAGTCAAATCCTTTTCAGAATGACAAAAGCTGGGCTTCAGGGACTGTGTAATGAAGGAGCCAATTTGAACATTTCATTAGAATAATGACACATTTTTCATCAACCAGAATCTTACAAGTAAATATTATTATACCTTAAAAGGGTTTCTATATTTACCAACAACAATACACATTCCTGGGAGTTACTGGGAAGTTTCACTCACCCAATGATACCAGGCTGCTGTAGGTCTCCACAATCACGTCCCTGTAGAAGGTCCTCTGAGCATCATCCAGGTCCTGACACTCCTCCCAGGTGAAGTGCAGAGCCACATCTTCAAAGGACACCAACCCCTGTAATGGCACATATTTCCTCAAGTCAAAGCATCAGCCCAGGGTCAAAAGAACAAGAATCTGGGAATTCACTCTTTTGTGTGTCCATGTGTCTTATATGTATTTTAGATAAGACGTAGTTTGTTTTGTACTGTTTATGGTGGGAGAAGGAGTAATCACAGTAGAAATATTCTTCCACTGTAATAACTTATGAATTAATAAAATTATATTACAAAGTTCACCTTATAGATCTAGAAACATCCTTGTTGCTAGGGATAAAAGTATAAACAAAATGCAAGACGCTCTCTCTTCAAAAATAATAAAAAAATATAGGCATAATGCTGGATGCCTGTAGTCCTGGCTACTCTGGAAGCTGAGGCTGAAGGATTGCTCAAATCCAAGAGTTTGACAGTGCAGTGAGTGATGATCACACCACTGCACTCCAGCCTGGCCAACAGAGAGCCTATCTCTCAAAAAAAAAGAGGAATAAAATTCTACTCCTCAAAGGAGCTCATGATCTGGTTATGAATATATAAGTATAAACACATACTGGGAATAATGTTTAGGTGAACTCATTGAGACACAAGTTCAATGCAGACTAAGATAAGAGAGAAGGAGAAAATAAATTTTGTTTATTTTGCATCAAGAGATTCGACTTTACTGAAAAATCAGTTGATTGGCTCTTCCACATGAACCATGAATTCTCATGACTATGAGAAAATATCAGAAGTCTACTGACAAAGGCAAAGCGAACACACATCACTTTAATGGAACTCTGGACAGCACCATGCCTAGATGAATGATCCTGGGCAGTGATGAAAGCTAAATGCAATATTTAAGGAATTGATTATGCAGTGATTCTGCATTTAAATATTTGACTTAATTTCAAAAATTTTTATGCACCTATCATTTTTACATTACATTACTTCCTCAGTATCCATGGGGACTGATTCCAAGATACCCCCAGATACCAAAATCCACAGATTGGATAACTCTGTTATATAAACAAGTCTCATATTTACATATAACTTATGCACATACTCCTGTATACAGTCATGAGCTGCATAATAACATTTCAGTCAATGATGAAACATGTATATCACAGTAGTCTCATAAGATGATGATGAAACATACACGGAAACCTGATATTGGCATTGCAGATGAAGTGCAGAAAATGATATTCAATAATGGCTCTGAGCCATCTGGTTACCCATATACCAAAAACATATAAATAAAAATATACATACCATGTAGGTTTTTGTAACACTATGATGTTCACAAAACAATGAAATTACCTAAGGTTGCATTTCTCAGAAAGTAATCCCATCAGTAAGCCATGCACGACTGAACTTAAAATCTTTAGATTACATATAATACTGAAGACAATATAATGCTACATAAATAGCTGTTATACTGTACTGTTTAGGAAATAATGACAAGAAAAATTTCTGTAGATTCTCTGCACAGAGACAACCATCTATTTTTGTGGGAATATTTTCAATCTGAAGTTGGCTGAATCTGCAGATGCAAAACCCATAGAAACAAAAGGGTGAGTATACTTAATTAAAATCATATACACTGGCATTTCAAAATTTCCTTTCTACGGGACAAAAAATTTCTGTATCCACCCAGGGTGAACACAGCCACTTCACAAACAGGTGTAAATAAGGAGGTCCAGTAAGGACAGAAAAGTTACATGACCATATTGGCATTTTAACAGCCATCCCTGAGAAAGAGAATGGGAAAGGGCTTAAGGGAAAGCCAGAAGGGAGTAAAGAGGAAGACAGATGACCACCTACATCAGTACATGAGGACACGGAGTGTAAGAATACACAATAGGGAAGCAGTTCTTAAAAGGAAAAAAATGTAGAAACAGGATTTGGTACCAATTTACTGTGCAGTGGGTAAAAACGGGAGTTTTGTTTCCAAGTTATCTGCCCTGATCCAGCTAGTTTGGTACTGGTGCTGTGAAGTGAAATTTGCAAAAAAAATAAAAGAATATGATAACCAGAAGTGACACAGACCTGGACATATCATGTGTGAAACATCTGACGTTCCATATGTGGGAATGTTCAACTGGCAATTGGGAATATAGCTCCAGTGGTTCAGAAGAGAGATCAAACTAAAGATAAATATTTGGAAATTACCAGAATTTCAATGCTACCTGAATCCATCAGACCAAATGAAAATAAGAGAAGGAAAGAATAAAAGAAACAAGTACAGAATCTACAGAAACACTAACATTTACACTGGAAGAGAAATAGACTGTGAAGACCAAGAAGGAACTTTCTGAGTTTATTCCACGAATAAAGAAAAGTTCAATATTCAGAAGTCTAATATAATTCATCTTGATCATATTCCTGTGGAAAAAAATCCTTTAACTGTGCACATAGGCATTGAGAAGATAGTTTTAGAAACATATTCCAGATTCCTATTTCTGCATGTAAGAAGCTTGGAAGTAATCAATAATTACTTTACAATAATTAATTTTTATAACAAGCTTAACAACAAATTAATATGACACAATTAATCTTAACAAGAAATAAAAAGCTGAAGAGACTAAAAAATCAATAATTCTTTCTAGATTTGAAACTTAGGGGAGGACACAGGGCAAACCAATACCCCTAGGATTGCAGAGACAAAGAAGTGAATATAGGACTTAATGCCTTAAAGGAACATGGACTCACTACTGAAACCAACCTTGGAACCAGTGCTGGAGTAGAAAATCTCAAACCGTAACTGGTGAACGGCTGGAGGATCCGCGTGGACAACTCTAAGTGGTAAAAACTACAAGAGATAGAGTTACTGTTGGGGAGGAGGAACAATACTGTAAAATTGTCTCATGGAGCTTCACCAGGCTCCTGTGACAAATACCTGAGGAAACTCCACTCCTGCTTCAATCTTTCAGAAGGAAAAAGGAAAACCAGTTTGAAATATGCCAGAGCACCAAGTTCTTAACAAGGCTTGTCCACAGGAGAAACTACTTAACTTCAGCCTAATCTGCTCTAGTATAATCAGAGACTAAATAACATAGGGGAAGGAAATTACCCCTTCCACTGTAGCCCATTCTAGTCATGTTCCACCTAAGGTGGAAAATTAATTAAACAGAGGAACACTTCTGAGGTTCACAGTATAAACCCAATCATAGCATTCCAGAACACGGCTGCTGGGGCCTGCGTGTTTGTCCCTCACATATGGTACCAAAACGCTGCTCCTGAGGTCTGAATGTTTCTCCCTCACATAAGATTCCAGAACACTGCTATGAAGGTCTGAATGTTTGTCCCTTACAAAGGATTCCATAACATTGATGCTGGGGTCCGAATGTTTATCCTTAACCTAGGATTTCAGAACACTGCTCCTGGGGTCTGAATGTTTGTCCCTCACACAGGATTCCAGAACACTGATGCTGGGGTCTGAATGTCTGTCCCTCACATAGAATACCAGAACACTGATAAGAGGGTCAGAATGTTTGTCCCTCACATAAGATTCCATAACACTGCTGCTGGGGTCTGAAAGTTTGTCCCTCACATAGGATTCCAGATCACTGCTACGAGGTTCTGAATATTTGTCCGTTACATAGGACTCCAGAACACTGCTGTCATGATCTGAATGTTTGTCCCTCACATAGGATTCCAGAACACTGCTGCTGAGGTCTGAATGTTTGTCCCTCACATAGATCTCCAGAACACTGCTGCGAGGGTCTGAATGTTTGTCCCTCACATAGCTTTCCAGAACATTGCTGCGAGGGTCTAAAAGTCTGTCCCTCACATAGGATTCCAGAACACTGCTACGAGGTTATGAATGTTTGTCCGTTACATAGGATTCTAGAACACTGCTGCCATGGTCTGAATGTTTGTCCCTCACATAGGATTCCAGAACACTGCTGCTGGGGTCTGAATGTTTGCCCTCACATAAGATTCCAGAACACTGCTCCCCGGGTCTGAGTGTTAGTCCCTCACATAGGATTGCAGAACACTAATGCAATGATCTGAATGTTTCTCCCTCACGTAGGATTTCAGAACACTGCTGCTGGGGTCTGAATGTTTGCCCCTCACATAGCATTTCAAAACACTGCTGCTGGGTTATGAATGTTTTTCCCTCACTTAGAATTCCAGAACACTAACGCAATGATCTGGATGATTGTCCCTCACGTAGGATTCCAGAGCACTGCTGCTGGGGTCTGAATGTTTGTCCCTCACATAAGATTCCAGAACACTGCTATGAGGGTCTGATTATTTGTCCCTCACATAGGATTCCAGAACCCTCCTGATGTGGTCTGAATGCGTGTCCCTCACATAAGACTCCAGAACACTGCTATGAGGGTGTGAATGTCCGTCATATAGGACTCTAGAGCATGGCTTCTGTGGTCTGAAAGTTTTTCCCTCACATAGGATTCCAGAACACTAATGCAATGATCTGAATGTTTGTCTCTCACACAGGATTCCAGAACACTGATTCCAGGGTCTGAATGTTTGTACCTCACATAGGATTCCAGAACACTGCTGCTGGGGTCTGGGTGTTTGTCCCACACATAGGATTCCAGAACACTGCTGGGAATGTCTGAATGTTTGTCCATCACATGGGATCCCAGAACACTGCTACTGGCTTCTGAATGTTTGTCACCCACACAGGATTCCAGAACACTGCTGTTGTGGTCTGTTTTTTTCTTTTACTTTTTGTCTTTTTAAAATTACTTTATTAATATTTATTTTTAATTGACATAGGACATTGCAAGTTTTTTGTAATGTAAAATGTGAGGGACAAACATTCAGACCAATGCAGTAGCGTTCTGGAATCCTATGTGAAGGACAAAGTATGCATACATTGTGAAAAGGTCAAATCTAGCTAATTAACAAATACATCAACTCACATAGTTATCATTTTTGTGATGAATACACATAACATTAACTTTCTATTTCTCAAGAATACAATATGTCATCATCAATTACAATCACCTTGCTCTACAATACATCTCCTGAAATGTATTCCTTCTGTGTAACTCTAAGTATGTATCCTCTGATTAACATCACTGCAACTCCCCTTTACCCCTAGCTCTGATACCCACCATTGTACTTTGTAATTCTATGAGATCAACTTTTTAACATATCAGTAGAAGTCATGTCATGATATATTTGTCTTTTTGTGTCTGCCCTATTTCACTTAACATATTGTCCTCCAGGTTCATCCATGTTGTTTACAAACGCCAGGGTTTTCTTTATTTACTGCCAAATAGTATACCACATTTTCTTTCTTTTTTTAATTATATTTTCCGTATTGAATTATTTATATATATATATATATATTTATTATACTTTAAGTTCTTGGTTACATGTGCACAACGTGCAGGTTTGTTATGTTTGCATACATGTGCCATGTTGGTGTGCTGCACCCAGTAACTCGTCATTTACCTTAGGTATATCTCCTAATGCTATCCCCCCTCCCCCCACCCCACAACAGGCCATGGTGTGTGATGTTCCCCTTCCTGTGTCTATGTGTTCTCATTGTTCAATTCCCACCTATGAGTGAGAACATGTGGTGTTTGTTTTTTTGTCCTTGTGATAGTTTGCTGAGAATGATGATTTCCAGCTTCATCAATGTCCCTACAAAGGACATGAACTCATCATTTTTTAAAGCTGCATAGTATTCCCTGGCATATATGTGCCACATTTTCTTAATCCAGTCTATCATTGTTGGACATTTGGATATTACAGTTGGTTCCAAGTCTTTGCTATTGTGAGTAACGTCACAATAAACATACGTGTGCATGTGTCTTTATAGCAGCATGACTTATATTCTGTTGGGTATATGTCCAGTAATTGGACGGCTGGGTCAAATGGTATTTCTAGCTCTAGATCCCTGAGGAAACACCAAACTGTCTTCCACAATCGTTGAACTACTTTACAGTCCCACCAACAGTGTAAAAGTGTTCCTATTTCTCCACATCCTTTCTAGCACCTGTTGTTTTCTGACTTTTAAATGATCGCCATTCTAACTAGTGTGAGATGATATCTCATTGTGATTTTGATTTGCATTTCTCTGATGGCGAGTGATGATGAGCATTTTTTCATGGGTCTGTTGGCTGCATAAATGTCTTCTTTTGAGAAGTGTCCGCTCATATCCTTCGCCCACTTGTTGATGGGTTTTTTTCTTCTAAATTTGTTTGAGTTCTTTGTAGATTCTGGATATTAGCCCTTTGTCAGATGAGTAGATTGCAAAAATTTTCTCCCATTCTGTAGGTTGCCTGTTCACTAGTATGCCTTTTGCTGCACAGAAGCTCTTTAGTTTAATTAGATCTCATTTGTCAATTTTGGCTTTTGTTGCCATTGCTTTGGATGTTTAAGACATGAAGTCCTTGCCCATGCCTATGTCCTGAATGGTATTGCCTAGGTTTTCTTCTCGGGTTTTCATGGTTTTAGGTCTACATTTAAGTCTTTAATCCATCTTGAATTAATTTTTGTATAAGGTGTAAGGAAGGGATCCAGTTTCAGCTTTCTACATATGTCTAGCCAGTTTTCCCAGCACCATTTGTTAAATAGGGAATCCTTTCCCAATTTCTTTTGTCAGGTTTGTCAAAGATCAGATAGTTGTAGATGTGTGGTATTATTTCTGAGGGCTCTGTTCTGTTCCATTGCTCTATATCTCTGTTTTGGTACCAGTACCTTGCTGCTTTGGTTACTGTAGTCTTGTAGTATAGTTTGAAGTCAGGTAGCGTGATGCCTCCAGCTTTGTTCTTTTAGCTTAGCATTGACTTGGCCATGTGGGCTCTTTTTTGGTTCCATATGAACTTTAAAGTGGTGTTTTCCAATTCTGTGAAGAAAATCATTGTTAGCTTCATGGGGATGGTATTGAATCTATAAATTACCTTGGGCAGTATGGCCATTTTCACGATATTGATTCTTCCTATCCATAAGCATGGAATGCTCTTCCATTGGTTTGTGTCCTCTTTTATTTTGTTGAGCAGTGTTTTGTAGTTCTCCTTGAAGAGCTCCTTCACATCCCTTGTAAGTTGGATTCCTAGGTAATTTATTCTCTTTGAAGCAACTGTGAATGGGAGTTCATTCATGATTTGGCTCTCAGTTTGCCTGTTATTGCTGTATAAGAATGCTTGTGATTTTTGCACATTGATTTTGTATCCTGAGACCTCACTGAAGTTGCTTACCAGCTTAAGGAGATTTTGGGCTGAGATGATGGTGTTTTCTAGATATACAAACATGTCATCTGCAAACAGGGACAATTTGACTTCCAAGAAATGACTAAGATCAGAGCACAACTGAAGGAGATAGAGACCAAAAACCCTTCAAAGAATCAATGAATCCAGGAGCTGGTTTTTTGAAAAGATCAACAAAATTGATAGACCACTAGCAAGACTAATAAAGAAGAAAAGAGAGAAGAATCAAATAGACACAATAAAAAATGATAAAGGGGATAGCACCACCAATCCCACAGAAATGCAAACTACTATCAGAGAATACTGTAAACACCTCTATGCAAATAAACTAGAAAATCTAGAAGAAATGGATAAATTCCTCAATACATAAACCCTCCCAAGACTAAACCAGGAAGAAGTTGAATCTCTTAATAGACCAATAACAGGCTCTGAAATTGAGGCAATAATAGCATACCAACCATAAAAAGTCCAGGACAAGACGGAATCACAGCCTAATTCTACCAGAGGTACAAGGAGGAGAAGTTGCCATTCCTTCTGAAACTCTTCCAATCAAGAGAAAAAGAGGGAATCCTCCCTAACTCATTTTATGAGGCCAGCATCATCCTGATACCAAAGCCTGGATAAGACATAACCAAAAAAGAGAATTTAAGACCAATATCCCTGATGAACATCGATGCAAAAATCCTCAATAAAGTACTGGCAAACTGAATCCAGCAGCACATCAAAAAGCTTATCCACCATGATCAAGATGGCTTCATCCCTGGGATGCAAGGCTGGTTCAATATATGCAAATCAGTAAACGTAATCCAGCATGCAAACAGAATCAAAGACAAAAACCACATGATTATCTCAATACAGGCAGAAAAGGCCTTTGACAAAATTCAACAGCCCTTCATGCTAAAAACTCTCAATGAATTAGGTATTGATGGGATGTATGTAAAAATAATAAGAGCTATTCATGACAAACACACAGACATTTTCATACTGAATGGGCAAAAACTGGAAGCATTGCCTTTGAAAACAGGCACAAGATAGGGATGCCCTTTCCCATCACTCCTATTCAAAGTAGTGTTGGAAGTTCTGGCCAGGGCTATCAGGCAGGAGAAAGAAATAAAGGGTATTCAATTAGGAAAAGAGGAGGTCAAATTATCCCTGTTTGCAGGGGTCTGTTTGCCCTCACATAAGATTCCAGAACACTGCTGCTGTGGTCTGCTTGTGCCTCACATAGCATTCCAGAACACTGCTGCTATGGTCTGAGTGATTGTCCCTGACATAGGATTCCAAAACACTGCTACGAGGGTCTGAATGGTTTGTCCCCCACATAGCATTCCAGAACACCATGGCGAGGGTGTGAATGTTTCCCCCTCACATAGGATTACAGAACACTCCTGCTGTGGTCTGAAAGTTTTTCCCTCACATAGGATTCCAGAACACTGCAGATGGGATCTGAATGTTTATCCCTTACGTAGGATTCCAGAACACTCCTGCTGTGGTCAGAGTGTTTGTCCCTCACATAGGATTCCAGAACACTCCTGCTGTGGTCTGAATGTTTGTTCCTCATTTAAGATTCCAGAACACTGATGCTGTGGTCTGAACATTTCTCCTTCACATAGGATTCCAGAACACAGTTGCTGGGGTCTGAAAGTTTGTCCCTCACATAGGATTCCAGAATACTGCTACGAGGGTTTGAATGTTTCTCCCTCACATAGGATTCCAGGCCACTCCTGCTGTGCTCTGAAAGTTTTTCCCTCACATAGGATTACAGAACACTGCTAGTGTGGTCTAAATGTTTGACCCTCACATAGGAGTCCAGAACACTGCTGCTGGGTTGCAAGTGTCTCTCTCTCACATAGAATTCAGGAACACTGCTAAGAGGGTCTGATTGTTTGTCCCTCACATAGGATTCTGGAACACTGCTGCTGGGTTCTTAGTGTTTGCCCACACATAGGATTCCAGAACACTGCTGCTGTGGACTGAATGTTTGTTCCTCACATAGGATTCCAGAACACTGCAGATGGGATCTGAATGTTTGTCCCTTACGTAGGATTCCAGAACACTCCTGCTGTGGTCTGATTGTTTGTCCCTCACAAAGGATTCCAGAACATTCCTGCTGTGGTCTGAATGATTGTTCCTCACAGAGGATTCCAAAACACTCCTGCTATGGTCTGAATGTTTGTCCAGCACATAGGAATCCAGAACACTCCTACTATGGTGTGAAAGTTTGTTCCTTACATAAGATTCCAGAACACTGCTGCTGTGGTCTGAATCTCACAAAGGATTCCAGGACACACCTCCTGTGATCTCAATGTTTGTCCCTCACACAGGATTCCACAACACTGCTGGGGGGTTCTGAGCGTTTGTCCCTCACATAGGATTCCCAAACACTGCTACAAGGGTCAGAATGTTTGTCCCTCACAGAGGATTCCAGAACACTACTGCTGGGTTCTGAGTGTTTGTCCCTCACATAGGACTCCACAACTCTGCTGCTGTCTTCTGAAGGTTTGTTCCTCACATAGGATTCCAGAACAGTGCTATGAGGGTCTGAATATTTGTTCCTCATATAGGATTAAAGAACACTTCTCCTGTGGTATGAATGTTTGTCCTCCACATAGGATTCCAGAACACTGCTGCTAGGTTCTGAGTGTCTGTCCCTCACACAGGATTCCAGAACACTGCTAGGAGGGTCTGAATGTTTGCCCCTCTCATAGGATATCAGAACACTCCTGCTGTGGCCTGATTGTTTCTCCCTCACAAAGGACTCCAGAACACTCCTGCTGTGGTCTGAATGTTTGTCCATCACACAAGATTCCAGAACACAGCTGCTACGTTCTCAGCGTCTGTCCCTCACATAGGATTCCAGAACACTGCTTCTGGGGTCTGAATGTTTGTCCCTCACATAGGATTACAGAACACTGCTTCTGGGGTCTGAATATTTGTCCCTCACATAGGATTACAGAACACTGCTATGAGGGTCTGAATGTTCGTCTTACACAAAGGATTCCAGAACACTCCTGCTGTGGTCTGAATGTTTGTCCCTCACATAAAATTCCAGAACACTCCTGCTCTGGTCTGAATGTTTGTACCTCACATAGGATTCCAGAACACTGCTGCTGGGATCTCAGTGTTTGTCTCTCACATAGGATTCCAGAACATGGCTACGATGCTCTGAATGTTTGTCCCTCACATAGGATTTCAGAACACTGCTGTTGGGATCTGAATGTTTGTCCCTCACATAGGATTCCAGAACACTACTGCTGGGGTCGGAATATTTGTCCCTCACATTGGATTCCAGAACACTGCTGCTGGGATCTCAGTGTTTGTCCCTCACATAGGATTCCAGAACACGGGTACGATGCTATGAATGTTTGTCCCTCACATGAGATCCCAGAACACTGCTGCTGGGGTCTGAATGTTTGTCCCTCACATAGAATTCCAGAACGCTGATACTGGGGTCTGAATGTTTTTCCCTTACGTAGGATTCTGGAACACTGCTACGTGGGTCTGAATGTTTGTCCATCACATAGGATTCCAGAAAACAGCTATGAGTGTCTGAATGCTTCTCCCTTACATAGGATCCCAGAACACTCCAGCTGTGGTGTGAATGTTTGTCCCTCACATAACATTCAAGAACACTGCTGCTGGGGTCTGAATGTTTGTCCCTCACAAAGGATTCCAGAAAAATGCTGCTGGCATCTGAATGTTTGTCGTTTACATCGGATTCCAGAACACTGCTGCTGGGTTCTGAGTATTTGTCTCTCACATAGGACTCCAGAACACTCCTGCTGTGGTCTAAAAGTTTGTCACTCACATAGGATTCCAGAAAACTGCTGCTGGGTTCTCAGTGTTTGTCCCTTACATAGAATTCCAGAACATTGCTAAGAGGGTCTGAATGTTTGTCCTTCACATAGGTGTCCAGAACACTGCTGCTGGGGTCTGAAGGTTTGTCCCTCACACAGGATTCCAGAACAGTGCTACGAGGGTCTGAATATTTGTCCATCAAATAGGATTGGAGAACACTCCTGCTGTGGTCTGAATGTTTGTCCCTCACACAGGTTTCCAGAACACTCCTGCTGTGGTCTGAATGTTTGTCCCTCACATAGGATTCCAGAACACTGCTGCTAGGTTAAGTGTCTGTCCCTCATATGGGATTCTATAACACTGTTATGAGGGTCTGAATGTTTGTCCCTCACACAGGATTCCTGAACACTCCTACTGTGGTCTGAATGCTTGTTCCTCACACACAATTCCACCACACTCCTGCTGTTGTCTGAATGTTTCTCCCTCACATAGGATTCCAGAACACTGCTGCTGGGTTCTGAGTGTTTGTCCCTCACATAGGATTCCAGAACACTGCTACGAGGGTCTGAATATTTGATCCTGAAATAAGATTCTAGAAAACTGCTGCTCAAGTCTGAGTGTTTGTCCTTCACATAGGATTCCAGAACACTGTTACGAGGGTCTGAATGTTTGACCCTCACATAGGACTCCAGAACACTCCTGCTGTGTTCTGAATGTCTGTCGCTCGCATAGGATTCCAGAACACTGCTACAACGGTCTGAATGTTTCTCCTTCACAAGGGATTCCAGAACATTCCTGCTGTTGTGTGAATGTCTGTCCCTCACATAGGATTTCACAACGCTCCTGCTGTGTTCTGAATGTTTGTCCCTCACATAGCATTCAAGAACACTGTTGCTGGGTTCTGAATGTTTGTCCCTCACACAGCATTCAAAAACACTGCTGCTGGGGTCTGAATGTGCCTCACATAAAATTCCAGAACACTGTTAGGAGGGTCTGAATGTTTGACCCTCACATAGGACTCCAGAACACTCCTGCTGTGGTCTGAATGTTGGTCCCTCACATAGGACTCCAGAACACTCCTGCTACGGTCTGAATGTTGGTCCCTCACATAGGACTCCAGAACACTCCTGCTATGGTCTGAATGTTGGTCCCTCACATAGGATTCCAGAACACTCCTGCTATGGTCTGAATGTTGGTCCCTCACATAGGACTCCAGAACACTCCTGCTGTGGAGTGAATATTTGTCCCTCCCATAGGATCCCAGAACAATGCTCCTGGATTCTGAGTTTTATTCCCTCACAGAGGATTCCAGAACACCACTATGAGGGTATGAATGTTTTTCCCTCACAGAGGATTCCAGAAAACTGCTGCTGGGGTCTGAATGTTTGTCCCTCACATAGGAGTCCAGAACATTGTTATGAGGGTCTGAATCTTTGTCCCTGACATAGGATTCCAGAACACTCCTACTGTGGCCTGAATGTTTGTTCCTCACATAGGATTCCAGAACACCCCTGCTGTTGTCTGAATGTTTCACACTCACATAGGACTCCAGAACACTCCTGCTTTGGTTTCAAAGTTTGTCCCTCACATAGGATTTCACAACTCTCCTGCAGTGTTCTGAAAATTTGTCCCTCACATAAGATTCCAGAACACTCCTGCTGTGTTCTGAATATTTGTCCCTCACATAAGTCTCCATAACACTCCTGCTGTGGTTAGGATGTTTGTCCCTCAGATAGCATTCAGGAACACTGCTGCTGGAGTCTGAATGTTTGTCTCTAACATACAATTCCACAGCACTACTGCTCTGGTCTGAAGGTTTGTCCTTCACATATGAGTTCAGAACAGTGGTGCTGGATTCTGAGCGTTTGTCATTCACATAGGATTCCAGAACACAGCAAAGAGGGTCTGAATATTTGTCCCTCACTTAGGATTCCAGAATACTGCTTCTGGGTTCTGAGTGTTTGTCCCACACATAGGATTCCAGAACACTGCTACAAGGGTCTGAATGTTTGTCCATTAAATGATATTCCAGAGAACTGCTGCTGGGGTCTCAATGTTTGTCCCTCAGACTGCATTCCAGAACACTCCTGCTGTGGTCTGAATATTTACCCCTCAAATAGGATTCCATAACATTGCTGCTGTGGTCTGACTGTCCCTCACATAGGATTCCAGAACAATTCTGCTACGATCTGAATGTTTGTCCCTCACATAGCATTCCAGAAGACTGCTGCTGTGGACTGAATGTTTTTCCCTGACATAGGATTCCAGAACACTGCTCCTGGATTCTGAGTTTTTTTTCCCTCAAATAGGATTCCAGAACACTCCTGCTGTTTTCTGAATATTTGTTCCTCACATACGTCTCCATAACACTCCTGCTGTTGTTAGGATGTTTGTCCCTCAGATAGCATTCAGGAACACTGCTGCTGGAGTCTGAATGTTTGTCTCTAACATACAATTCCAGAGCACTACTGCTCTGGTCTGAAGGTTTTTCCTTCACAAATGATTTCAGAACACTGGTGCTGGATTCTGAGCGATAGTCATTCACATAAGATTCCAGAACACTGCTAAGAGGGTCTGAATATTTGTCCCTTACTTAGGATTCCAGAATACTGCTTCTGGGTTCTGAGTGTTTGTCCCACACATAGGATTCCAGAACACTGCTACAAGGGTCTGAATGTTTGTCCATTAAATGATATTCCAGAGCACTGCTAATGGGGTCTCAATGTTTGTCCCTCAGACAGCATTCCAGAACACTCCTGCTGTGGTCTGAATATCTGTCCCTCACATAGGATTCCATAACACTGCTGCTGTGGTCTGACTGTTTGTCCCTCACATAGGATTCCAGAACAATTCTGCTACGATCTGAATGTTTGTCCCTCACATAACATTCCAGAAGACTGCTGCTGCGGACTGAATGTTTTTCCCTGACAAAGGATTCCAGAACATTGCTCCTGGATTCTGAGTTTTTTTTCCCTCAAATAGGATTCCAGAACACTGCTGCGAGGGTATGAATGATTTTCCCTAAATAGGATTCCAGAACACTGCTGCTGGGGTCTGAAAGTTGGTCCCTCACATAGGATTACATAACACTCCTAGTGTGGTCTGAATGTTTGTTCCTCACATAGGATTTCAGAACACTCCTGCAGTGTTCTGCATGCTTGTCCCTCACATAGGATTCCAGAACACTACCACAAGTGTCTGAATGTTTGTCCTTCACAAGGGATTCCAGAAGACTCCTGCTGTGATCTGAATGTTTGTCCCTCACCTAGGATTTCAGAACACTCCTGCTGTGATCTGAATGTTTGTCCCTCACATAGGACTCCAGAACACTCCTGCTGTGGTCTGAATGTTTGTCTCTGAGATAGCATTCAAGAACACTGCTGCTGGAGTCTGAGCGTTTGACCCTCACATAATATTCCAGAACACTGCTGCTGGGTTCTGAATGTTTGTCCATCACGTAGGATTCCAGAACACTCCTACTGTGCTCTGAAAGTTTGTTCCTCACATGCGATTCCAGAACACTCCTGCTCTGGTCTGAATGTTTGTCCCTCACATAGGATTCCAGAACACTGTTACGAGGGTCTGAACGTTTCTCCCTCACATAGGATTCCAGAACAATCCTACAGTTGTCTGAATGTTTGTTCCTCACATAGGATTCCAGAACACTGCTATGAGGGTCTGAATGTTTGTCCCTCACATAGGATTCCAGAACACTGCTAGGAGGGTCTGAATGTTTGTCCCTCACATAAGATTTCACAACGCTGTTACTGGGGTCTGAATGTTTCTCCCTTACATAGGATTCCAGAAAACTGCTACGAGAGTCAGAATGCTTGTCCTTCACATAGGATTGGAGCACATTCCTGCTGTGGTCTGAAGATTTGTCTCTCACATGGCATCCAAGAACACTGCTCCTGGGGTCTGAATGTTTGTCCCTCACATAGGATCCCAGAACACTGCTGCTGGGGTCTGCAGGTTTGTCCCTCACATAGGATTCCAGAAAACTGTTACGAGAGTCAGAATGCTTGTCCTTCATATAGGATTCGAGCACATTCCTGCTGTGGTCTGAAGATTTGTCTCTCACATGGCATCCAAGAACACTGCTCCTGGGGTCTGAATGTTTGTCCCTCACATAGGATCCCAGAACACTGCTGCTGAGGTCTGCATGTTTGTCCCTCACATAGGATTCCATAACACTGCTGTGGGCTTCTGAGTGCTTGTCCCTCACATAGGACTCCAGGACACTCCTTTTGTTGTCTGAATGTTTGTCCCTCACATAGGATTCCAGAACACTGCTCCTGGGGTCTCAATGTTTATCACTCAGAGAGCATTCCAGAACAATCTTGCTGTTGTCTGAATGCTTGTCCGTCATGTAGGATTCCATAACACTCCTGCTGTGGTTTGAATGCTTGTCCCTCATGTAGGATTCCAGAACTCTTCTGTTATGGTCTGAATGTTTGCCCCTCAAATAACATTCCAGAACACTGGTGCTGTGGAATGAGTGTTTGTCCCTCACATAGGATTGCAGAACACTCCTGCAGTGGTCTGAATGTTTCTCCCTCACACAGGTTTCCAGAACACTCCTGCTGTGGTCTGAAAGTTTGTTCTTCACATACGATTCCAGAACACAGCTACAAGGGTCTCAATGTTTGTCCCTCAGACAGGATTACAAAACACTCCTGCTGTGGTCTGACTGTTTGTTCCTCACATAGGATTCCAAAACACGCCTGCTGTGGTCAGAATGTTTGTCCCCATATAGGAAATCAGAACACTCCTGCAGTGTTCTGAATGTTTGTCCCTCACATAGGACTCCAGAACACTCCTGCTGTGGTCTGAAAGTTTGTCCCTCACATAGCATTCAAGAACACTACTGTTGGAGTCTGAATGTTTGTCCCTCACATAGGATTCCAGAACAATTCTGCACTGGTCTGAATGTTTGTCCCTCACATAGGATTCCAGAACACAGCTGCTGGATTCTGAGCATTTGTCCCTCAAAAAGGATTCCAGAACACCCCTACGAGGGTCTGAATATTTGTCCCTCACATAGGATTGCAGAACACTGTTGGTGGGTTCTGAGTGTTTGTCCCTTACATAGGATTCCAGAACACTGCTACAAGCGTCTGAATGTTGGTACATCACATAAGATTCCAAAACACTGCTGCTGGGGTCTGAATGTTTGTCCCTCACATAGGATTCCAGAACACTGCTGCTGAGGTCTCAATGTTTGTCCCTCAGAGAGCATTCCAGAACAATCTTGCTGTGGTCTGAATATTTGTCCCTCATGTAGGATTCCATAACACTCCTGCTGTGGTCTGAATGTTTGTCCCTCACATAGGACTCCAGAACTCTCCTGCTATGGTCTGAATGTTTGCCCCTCACATAGCATTCCAGAACACTGCTGCTGTGGACTGAATATTTGTCCCTCACAAAGGATTCCAGAGCAGTGCTCCTGGATTCTGAGTTTTTTTTTCCCTCACATAGGATTCTAGAACACCCCTACGAGGGTACGAATGCTTTTTCCTCACATAAGATTCCAGAACACTGCTGCTGGGGTCTGAATGTTTGCTCCTCACATAGGATTCCAGAACACTCCTGCTGTTGTCTGAATGTTTGACACTCACATAGGACTCCAAAACACTCCTGCTGTCATTTGAATGTTTGTCCCTCACATAGGATTTCAGAATATTCCTGCAGTGTTCTGCATGCTTGTCCCTCACATAAGATTCCAGAGCACTGCTACAAGGGCCTGAATATTTCTCCTTCTCAACGGATTCCAGAAGACTCCTGCTGTGGTCTGAATGTTTGTCCCTCACATAGGATTTCAGAACATTCCTGCTGTGTTCTGAATGTTTGTCCCTCACATAGGACTCAAGAACACTCCTGCTGTTGTCTGAAAGTTTGTCCCTCAGATAGCATTGAAGAACAACGCTGCTGGAGTCTGAATGTTTGCCCCTCACATAGGATTCCAGAACACTCTTGCGATAGTCTGAATGTCCCTCACATATGATTCCAGAACACGCCTGCTGTGGTCTGAAAGTTTGTGCCTCACATAGGATTCCAGAACATTTCTGCTGTGGTCTGAATGTCCCTGACTTAGGATTCCAGAACACTGCTACGACGGTCTGAATGCTTATCTGTCTCATAACACTCCAGAACACTGCTTCGAGGGTCTGAATGTTGGTCCCTGACATAGGATTCCAGAACACTGCTACGAGGGTCTAAATGTTTGTTCCTCACATAGGATTCCAGAACACTCCTGCTGTTGTTTGTATGTTTGTCTGTCACATAGGATTCCAGAACACTGTGGCTGGGGTATGCATGTCCCTGATATAGGATGGCAGAAGGCTGATACCAGGGTCTGAATGTTTGTCTGTCACACAGGATTCCAGAACACCGCTATGAGGGTCTGAATGTCTCTCTCTCACAAAGGATTCCAGAACACTGCTGCGAGGGTCTGAATGTTTGTCCCTCCCATAGGACTCCAGAACACAGCTGCGAGGGTCTAAATGTCTGTCCCTCACATAGGATTGCAGAACACTGCTAGGAGGGTCAGGATGTTTCTCCCTCATGTAGCATTCCAGAACACTGCTGCTGTGGTCTGAAAGTTTTTCCCTCACATAGGATTCTAGAACACTGTTATGAGGGTTTGAATGTTTGTCCCACACCTAGGATTCCAGAACACCTCTGCTGGAGTCTCAACGTTTATCCCTCACATATGATTCCAGGATACTGTTATGAGGGTATGAATGTTTGTCCTTCACATAGGATTCCACAACACTGCTACGAGGGTCTGAGTGTTTCTCCCTCACATAGTATTCCAGCACACTTCTGCTGGTGTCTGAATGTTTGTACCTCATACCACATTCCAGAACACTGCTGCTGGGGTTTGAATGTCTGTCCCTCACATAGAATTCCAGAACACTGCTGGGAGGGTCTGAATATGTGTCTCTCCTATGGGATTCCAGAACACTGCTCCGAGGGTCTAAATATCTCTCCCTCACATAAGATTCCTGCACACGGCTATGAAGTTCTGAATGTTTGTCCCTCACTTAGGATTCCAGAAAACTACTACAAGGGTCTGAATGTTTGTCCCTCACATAGGATTCCAGAACATTGCTACGAGGGTCTGAATATTTGTCTTTCACATAGGATTCCAGAACTCTGCTGCTGTGATCTGAATGTTTGTCCCTCACAAAGGATTCCAGAACACTTTGCTGTGGTCTGATTGTTTGTTCCTCACATAGGATTCCAGAACACTGCTATGAGGCTCTGAGTGTTTGTCCCTCACGTAGGATTCCAGAACACTGCTACGAAGCTCTGAGTGTTTGTCCCTCACATAGAATTCCAGAACACTGCTGCCATTGTCTGAATGTTTGTCCCCCACATAGGATTCCAGAAGCCTGCTGCTGGGGTCTGAATGTTTGTCCCCCATCTAGGATTCCAGAACACTGTTGCGAGGGTCTGAATGTATGTCCCTCACATACAATTCTAGAAAATTGATGCTAGGGTCTGTGTGTTTGCCCTCAACATATGATTTCAAAACACTGCTCCTGGGTTCTGAATGTTTGTCCTTCACATAGGAATACAGAACACTGCTGCTGGAGTCTGAATGTTTGTCACTCACATAGAATTCCAGAACACTGCTGCGAGGATCTGAATGTTTGTCCCTCACATGGGATTCCAGAACACTCCAGCACAATATTACGAGGTTCTGAATGTTTGTCCCTAACATGGGGTTCCAGAACACTCCTGCTGTGCTCTGAATGCTTCTCCCTCACATAGGATTCCAGAACACTGCTACGAGGGTCTGAATGCTTATCCCTCATATAGGACTCCAGAACAGTCCTGCTGTGATCTGAATGTTTGTCCCTCACATAGGATTCCAGAACATTCATGCTGGGGTCTCATTGTTTCCCTTAACATAGGATTTCAGAACACTGCTCCTGGGGTCTGAATGTTTGTCCCTCACATAGGATTACAGAACACTGCTGCTGGAGTTTGAATGTCTTTCCCTCACATAGAATTCCAGAACACGGCTGGGAGGGTCTGAATGTTTGTCAGTCACATAGAATTCCAAAACACTACTACGAGGGTCTGAATATTTCTCTCTCACCTAGTATTCCAGAACACTGTTGCAAGGGTCTGAATATTGGTCCATCATATAGGATTTCAGAACACTGCTGCTGTGGTCTGAATGTATGTCCCTCACATAGGATTCCAGAACACTGCTACTAGGTTCTGAATGTTTTTCCCACACCTAGGATTCCAGAACACTTCTGCTGGTGTCTGAATGGTTGTCCCTCACATATGATTCCAGGACACTGCTACGAGGGTCTTAATGTTTGTCCTTCACGTAGGATTCCAGAACACTGCTCCCGTGGTCTGAATGTTTGTCCCTCATATAGCATTCCAGAACACTGCTGCTGGGGTCTGAATGTCTGCCCCTCAAATCGGATTCCAGAACACTGCTGCTGGAGTTTGAATGTCTTTCCCTCACATAGAATTCCAGAACACAGCTGGGAGGGTCTGAATGTTTGTCCCTCACATGGGATACCAGAACACTGCTGCGAGGGTCTAAATGTCTCTCCCTCACATAAGATTCCAGGACACTGCTACAAGGTTCTGAATGTTTTTCCCTCACATAGGATTCCAGAGCACTCCTGTTGTGGTCTGAATATTTGTCCCTCACATGGGATTCCAGAACACTGCCACGTGGGTCTGAATGTTTGCCCTCACATAGGATTCCAGAACACTACTGCTGGGGTCTGAATGTTTGACCCTCACATAGGATTCCAGAAGACTCCTGCTGTGGTCTGCAAGTTTATTCATCACATAGGACTCCAGAACACTGCTAAGAGGGTCTGAATGTTGGTCCCTCACATAGTATTCCAGAACACTCCTGCTGTGGTCTGAATGCTTGTTCCTCACATAGGATTTGAGAACACTCCTGCTGTGGTCTGAATGTTTGTTCCTCACATAGGATTCGAGAACATTCACGCTGGGATGTGAATGCTTGCTCTTAACATAGGATTTCAGAACACTGTTCCTGGGGTCTGAATGTTTGTCCCTCACATAGGATTCAAGAAAACTGCTGCTGTGGCCTGAAAGTTTGTACTTCACATAGGATTACAGAACACTCCTGCTGTGGTCGGAAGGTTTGTCTGTCACATAGGATTCCGGAACACTGCTGCTGGGCTCTGAATGTTTGTCCCTCACATTGGATTGCAGAACACTACTGCTGTGGTCTGAACGTTTGTCCATCACTTAGGATTCCAGAATGCTCCTGCTGTGGTCTGAATGTTTGTCTGTCACATAGGATTCCAGAACATTGAGGCTGGGGTCTGAATGTCCCTGACATAGGATTCCAGAACATTGCTATGAGGGTCTGAATGGTTGTCTTTCACATAGCATTCCAGAACACTGCTACAAGGGTCTGAATGCTGGTCCCTCACACAGGATTCCAGAACCCTCCTGCTGGGGTCTGAATGTTTCTCCCTCACAAAGGATTCCAGAACACTGCTATGAGGGTCTGAATATTTGTCCCTCACATACGATTCCAGAACACTCCTGCTGTGGTCTGAATGGTTGTCCCTCACATAGGATTCCAGAACACTTCTGCTGTGGTACGAATGTCTGTGTCTCACGTAGGATTCCACAACACTGCTACGAGGGTCTCAATGTTTGTCCCTCACATAAGATTCCAGAACACTGCTGCTGGGGTGTGAATGTTTGTCCCTCACATAGGATTCCAGACCACTGCTGCTGGGGTCTCAATGTCTGTCCCTCAAAAAGGATTCCAGAACACTGCTACGAGGGTCTGAATGTTTGTCCCTCACTTAAGACTGCAGAACACTGCTTCGAGGGTCTAAATGTCTGTCCTTCACATAGGATTCAGGAACACTGCTACGAGGGTCTGAATGTTTTTCCTTCACATAGCATTTCAGAACTGCCATGGTCTGAATGTTTGTCCCTCACATAGTATTCCAGAACAGTGCTACGAGGGTCTAAATGTTTGCCCCTCACATAGGATTCCAGAACCATGCTACGAGGGTCTGAAAGTTTGTCCCTCACATAGGATTCCAGAACACTGCTGCTGGGCTCTGAATGTTTGTCCCTCACATAGGATTCTAGAACACTCCAGCTGGCTTCTGAGTGTTTGTCCCTCACATAGGATTCCTGAAGACTTCTGCTGTCATTATAGTCATTGCAAGTGTCTGAATGTTTGACCTTCACCAAACACCAAATATCCTGGCCCTTTAGTCTTGGACTTTCCAGCCTCCAGATCTGTGAGCAATAATCTCTCTTGTTTATGAATTACTCAGTCTAAAGTATTTTGTTATAGTAGCCTAAAGAGACTAAGAAAGCCTCACCTGTCCTGTCACCTCATCACCACATTACTGAAGCTATACTAACAGCAGTCACTTTTAGTGGGTACTTCATGCATGAGAATAAAGGGGAAAAATTGCAAGGCATACTAAAATCCAAAAAAAGAAAAAAAATACAATTTGTGTCAACAGAGCAAGCTTCAGAAGCAGACAAAAATATGATTTTGGATTTTTTTTAAACCTCTCGACAATATGCTAAGGGCTCTAATGAATGAAGTAGACAGCATTAAAGTGTAGATGGGTAATGTAATCAGAAAGACAGACAACGTAAGAACCTTCAACATAATGTAGTGATAAAAATGTGGTAAATAACTGAAGAATACCTCTGATGGCTTATTAGTAGACTGGACTCAGCTGAGTAAAGAATCTCTGAGCTTGAGGATTTATGATCAGAAACTTCGAAAACTAAAGAAAAGAAACACTGAAAAGAACAGAAGATGATATCCAAGACTGTGGAACAACTACAAAAGGTGAAACAGAGTAATGAGAATACCAGGAGGAGAAGAAATAGAAGAAAGTTCTGCAACAACGATGTCTGAGAACTTCCAGTATTAATGTCAGACAACAAACCAAAGATCCAGGAAGCTCCGAGAACACCAGGCAGCATAAATGCCAACAACCTACACTTGGACATATAATTTTCAAACTATATGAAATAAAAGATAAAGGAAAATTCTGAAAGAAAGCAGAGATGGGGCAGAAAACACCTTACCTACAGAGACACAAAGATAAGAACTGCATTCAACATTGCAGAAACTGTGAAAACAAGAAGACAGTGAAATGAAAAATTCAAAATGTTGACAGAAAAAACCCCACCAACCTAAGTTTCTGTACCCACTGAAACCACCCTTCAAAAGTGAAGGAGAATTAAGGCCTTCCTCAGAAAAATAAAAATTCAAGAAACTTGTTGCCAGGAGACCTGTCTTGCAAGAAATGTTAAATGAAATTCTTTAGAGGGAAACAAAAGATATTTAACTGAAACCTGGATCAACATTTTTTAAAAAAGATCATTAAAGAAAGAATTATGGTACAATAAAAACCTATGTATTTATTCTTAATTGATCTGACCAAGAAGTTCATAGACAAAAACAAATACACACAGATAGATTATGTATGCTTATACACAAGTGAAATGAGTAACACTAATACAAGGAATGGAATGGAAGGATGGGAGGGAGGAATCAGGTGTTTTCTTTGTTAAGCAGGTAGTCACCCGTGAAGTGGGATAGTGTTATCTGAAAGTGGACTTGAATTGGTTGTAAATGTATATTGAGGAATTAGGTGTTTTGTTTGTTAAGTAGGTAGTCTTATTTGTGGGATAGTGGGATAGTGTTATTTGAAAGTGGACTTGAATTGGTTGTAAATGTTACTGAGGAATTAGGTGTTTTGTTTGTTAAGCAGGTAGTCTTATTTGTGGGATAGTGGGATAGTGTTATTTGAAAGTGGACTTGAATTTGTTGTAAATGTATATTGCAAATTCTGTGGCAAGTAGTTAAAAAAAAGTTTTAAAAAGAGAAGTGTATGCTAAGAAAGACAGGGAAAATGTAGTCATCTAAAATCATCAATGAAAACTTCAAAAGGCAGAAAAAGAGTGGTATACAAAAGAATGAAGACTGAGGAGAATGAATAGAAAACAGTAACAAATAAAGTAGATATTAATCCAATGATATCAATAATCACTTGGAATGTTAATAGTATGAACGTACCAATTCAAAGATAGAGATTGTCAGAGTCTATCAAAAGACAGACACATCTTGTTTCACTGCACTTTGCTTTATTGTGTTTTGTGACCATGTGTTTTACATATTGAAGGTTTGTGGCCACCCTGCAATAAGCAGGTCTCACTGGCACCATTGTTCCTACAGCACGTGCTCACTTCACGTCTCTGTGTCACATTTCGGTCATTCTCAGAGTATTTTAAGCTTTTTATTATTGAATCTGTTATGGTGATCTGTAATCAGTGATCTTTAATGCTACTGTTGTCATTGATTTGGGATCCACAAATCACACCCGGATAAGACAGCAAACAATTGACAAATGCCTTTGTTCTGACTGCCCCACCAACGTGCCATTTCTCTTTCTCTCTCTTTTTCTCAGGCTTCTTTTTATTAATATTAAAATGTGGTCAATTAATAACCCTACAATAGCCTCTATATGTTCAAGTGAAAGAAGAGTTGCATGTCTGTCACTTTAAACCAAAAGGAAGAAATAATTAAGCTTAGTGAGGAAGGCATACTGTAAGCAAGACAGGCCAGTAGCTAGACCTCATGCAACAAACACTTAGCCAAGTTGTGAATGCAAAGGAAGTGTTCTGGAAAGAAATTTAAATTACTACTCCAGTGAACACATGAATGATAAAAAGCTAAACAATCTTGCTGCTGTTATGAAGAAAGTTTAATTGGTCTAGATAGAAGATAAAAAAAAAACATTCCATTAAGCCTAAGCCTCTCTTTTTACTTTTTTTCTTTGTTTGTGAGACAGATTTTCATTCTTCTTGCCCAAGCTGGAGTGCAATGGCGCGATCTTGGCTCATCGCAACCTCTGCCTCCTAAGTTCAAGCCATTCTCCTGCCTCAGCATCCCGAGTAGCTGGGATTACAGGCATGCGCCACCATGCCTGGCTATTTTTTGTATTTTTAGTAGAGATGGGGTTTCTCCACGTTGGTCAGACTGGTGTCGAACTCCCGACCTCAGGTGATCTGTCTGCCTCAGCCCCCAAAGTGCTAGGATTACAGGTGTGACAGCCACCGCACCCAGCCTCTCTTCAATTCTATGAAGACTCAGAGAGGTGAGGCAGCTGCAGAAGAAAAGTCTGAAGCTAGAAGAACTTGTTTCTTGAGGTTTAAGGAAAAAAGTCATCTCCATCACATAAAAGCGCAAGATAAAGCAGCAAGTACTGATGGAAAAGCTGCAGAAAGCTATCTAGAAGATAACTGATTAAGATGGCTGCAATAAACAGATTTGCAATGGAGACAAAACAGCCTTCTACTAGAAGGAGATGCCATCTAAGATGTTCCCAGCTAGAGAGGAGTTGATACCTGGCTTTAAGGCTTCAAAGGACGTGCTGACACTTTTGTTAAGGGCTAAAGCAGTTGGTGATGTTAACTTGAAACCAATGATGATTTACTATTCTGAAAATCCAAGGGCCCTGAAGAATTATGATAAAACACAGCTCTGCCTGTACTCTACAAATGGGAACAAAGCCTGGATGACAGACTATCGGTTTACAAATACGGTTTACTGAATATCTTAAGCCCAATGTTGACACCTACTGCTCAAGAAATAAGATTCCTTTCAAAGTATTACCGCTCACTGACAATGCCCCTGGTACTCAAGGGCTTTTACAGAGATGTATAAAGAGCTGAATATTGTTTTCGTGCCTACTAACCCAACATTCATTCTGGTGCCCTTGGATCAAAGAATAATTTCAACTTTCAAGTCTTATCACTTAAAAATATATTTCATAAAGCTATAGCTTCTCTAGAAAGTGATTCCTTTGATGGATCTGGGCAAAATAATTGAAAACCTACCAGAAAGGATTCACCATTCTAGATGCCATTGAGAACATTCATGATTTAAAAAAGAAGATCAAAATAGCAACATTAGGAGAAGTTGGGGCCGGGCTTAGTGGCTCACGCCTGTAACCCCAGCACTTTGGGAGGCCAAGGCACGTGGATCACGAGGTCAGGAATTTGAAACCAGCCTGGCCAACATAGTGAAATCCTGTTTGTACTAAAAACACACAAAAAAATTAGCTGGGCCTGGTCGGGGGTGACTGTAATCCCAAATACTTGGGAGGCTGAGGCAGGAGAATTGCTTGAACCCGGGAGGTGGAGGTTGCAGTGAGCTGAGATCGCATCACTGCACTCCAGCCCAGGCAAGACTTCATCTCAAAAAAAAAAAAAAGAGAGGGAGAGAAGTTGGGAAGATTATTCCAACCCTCACAGATGACACTGAGGGGTTCACGACTTCTGTGTAGGAAGTAACTGCAGATATGGTGGAAATAACAAGAGCACTAGAATCAGAGACAGAGCTTGAAGATGTGGCGAGACTGCAGCAGCCTCTGGAGAAAATGTGTGTGGATGAGTTGCTTCCACGGATGAGCAAAGAAAGTGGTTTCTTGAGATGAAATCTACTCGTGGTGAAGACAGTGTAAATATTGTTGAAATGACAACAGATTTAGAATAAACTTAGTTGGTACTGCAGAAGAAGGGCTTGACAGGATCGAACCCAATGATTTACAATAATACATAAACTTAGTTCGTACAGCAGTACAAAGGTTTGACAGGATTGAATCCAATTTTGAAAGTTCTACTGTGGGTAAAAAGCTATCAAACAACATCGTATGCTACAGATAATTTTTTGTGAAAGGGAGAGTCAATTGACACAGCAAACTTCAATGTTGTCTTATTTTAAGAAATTACCACAGCCACCACAATGCTCAGCAACCACCACCTTACATTAAGGCAAGACCCTCCATCAGCTAGAAGACTGAAACTTGGCCAGATGCAGTGGCTCACACCTGTCATCCCAACACCTTGGGAGGCCAAGGTGTGTGGATTGCTTGAGCCCAGGACGTCAAGGCAACATGGCAAAACCCCATCTCTACAAAAAAAAAAAAATACAAAAATTAGCTGGACATGGTGGCATGCACCTGCAGTCCCAGTTAGCCAGGAGTCTGAGGTGGGGGTTTGACTGAGCATGAGGTTGACGCTACAATTACTCCAGCCTGAGCCACAGAGTAAAACCCTGTCACACACACAAAAAAAGATTGCAGCTTTCTGAAGCCTCAGATGACTGTTAGCACTTGTTAACAATAAAGTATTTGTAAATTAAAGTATGCACACTTTGTAGTCATATGCTATTGCACACTTTATACAGCACAGTATAAACATACTTTTACATGCACTGGGAAACCAAAAGAAATTGTATAACTCAATTTATTGCAGTGGTCTGGAACCAAACCCACATATATCTCTGATGCATGGCTGTCTTGTACACTTCTTAAAAAAAAAAACTTAAGAGGGTATATTTTAGGTGAAATGGTCATCTCATTTTTTTTTTTGAGATGGAGCCTCGCTCTGTTGTCCACGCTGGAGTGCGGTGGCACGATCTCGGCTCACTGCAAGCTCTGCCTCCCGGGTTCACACCATCATCCTGCCTCAGTCTCCCGAGTAGTTGGGACTACAGGCGCCCGCCATCACGCCCAGCTAATTTTCTGTATTTTTAGTAGAAACTGGGTTTCACTGTGTTAGCCACGATGGTCTTGATCTCCTGACCTTGTGACCCACCTGCCTCGGCCTCCCAAAATGCTGGGATTACAGGCGTGAGCCACCACTCCCTGTCTCATTTTTTAAAAAGAGTGAGAATGAGAAATATATGGGAAGTGATGGTGAAGTTTACGGCATTATTTGTTGTGATGAGTCCTGGGGCGAATACTTATCTCTAAACTCATTAAGATGTATATATTCGGTGTCACACGCCTGTAATCCCAGCACTTTGGGAGGCTGAGGCAGGTGAATCATCTGAGGTCAGGAGTTCGAGACCAGCCTGGCCAACATGGTGAAATCCTGTCTCAACTAAAAAAATACAAAAATTAGCTGTGCGTGGGGGCGCACGCCTGCGATCCCAGCTACTCAGGAGGCTGAGGCAGGAGAATTGCTTGAACCCGGGAGGCGGAGGTTGCAGTTAGCTGAGATCTTGTCACTGCACTCCAGCCTGGGCAAAAAGAGTAAAACCTCTGTCACACACATACACACACACACACAAACACATAAGGTGTATATTAAATATGTGTAATTTTTGTATGTCAACCACACCTTAGTTTTATTTTATTTTATTTTGAGACAGAGTCTTGCTCTGTCACCCAGGCTGGAGTCCAGTGGTGCAATCTCGGCTCACTGCAAGCTCTACCTCCCAGTTTCACACCATTCTCCTGACTCAACCTCCGGAGTAGCTGGAACTACAGGCACCCACCAACACGCCCGGGTAATTTTTTGTATCTTTAGTAGAGATGGCGTTTCACCATGTTAGCCCGGATGGTCTCGATTTCCTGACGTGATCTGCCTGTCTCAGCTTCCCAAAGTGCTGCGATTACAGGTGTGAGCCACTGCACCCAGGCAATTTTTATTTTTTTGAGACAGAGTCTCACTCTGTCACCCAGGCTGGAGTGCAGTGGCACTATCTTGGCTCACTGCAACCTCTGCCTCCCATGTTCAAGCAATTCTCCTGCCTCAGTCTCCCGAGTAGCTGGGACTACAGATGCATGCTATCACGTCTGACTAATTTTTTGATTTTTAATAGAGATGAGGTTTCACCATGTTGGCCAGGCTGGTCTCAAACTCCTGACCTCATGTGATCTGCCCACCTCAGCCTCCCAAAGTGCTGGGATTACAGGTGTAAGCCACTGCACCTGGCAATTTTTAAATATATATAATTAAAAATTAATAAAAAACAGGTATTTGCAAGTTTCCATTTTGTTATATGCTTATTATTCTTTATCTTTATGTCAGGTTGCTGTGTCAATACACTTAGGAGATCACAGTTTCTAAATTGAAATACATATAAATATGTCTGAATTTTTTTTTCTTTTTTTTTGAGATGGACTCTCGTTCTGTCACCCAGGCTGGAGTGCAGTGGTGTAATCTCAGCTTACTGCAACCTTCGCCTCCCAGAATCAAGTGATTCTCCTGCCTCAGCCTCCAGAGTAGCTGGGATTACAGGCACCCGCCATGACACCCAGCTAACTTTTATATATATATTTTTTATTTTTAGTAAAGACAGGGTTTCACCATGTTGGCCAGGCTGGTCTCCAACTCCTGACCTCAGATGATCCACCCACCTCGGTCTCCCCAAGTGCTGGGATTACAGGTGTGAGCCACTGTGCCTGGCTTGGATTTTTTTTCTAAAATTTACATTTCTGAGTTAAGAATGGTCAAAATATTATAAAAACAGAAGCACAATTCATTATGTATTTCATTAATTACCTTTATTAAAAACAACACAATTATATTACAATAGGACAAAAAAATGTTCACGCAAATGAAAACAAAACCATGACATACCCAAACTCAGGAGAAGGCAACAAAGGCAGTGCTAAAGGGACGCTTACAGCTGCAGATGCTTAAATTAAAAAGAAGAAAGATCTGAAACACATGCTAAAGGGAAGCTTACAGCTTCAGATGCTTAAATTAAAAAGAAGAAAGATCTCAAACCCATGCTAAAGGGAAGCTTATAGCTGCAGATGCTTAAATTAAAAAGAAGATCTCAAACCCATGCTAAAGGGAAGCTTACAGCTGCAGATGCTTAAATTAAAAAGAAGAAAGATCTCAAATCAATAACCTAACATTACACCTGTAGGGAAAAAAAAAAACTAATGACAAACCAAGCAAAAGGAAGAAAATAACAGATTAGAGCAGAGATAAGCAGAATAAGACCAGAAAAAAAGGAAAAAAAAACACACTGAGTTTGTTTTTTTAAAGATCAATAAAAATTTTAAAACTCACAGCTCTATTAAGAAAAAAGAGAAATCTCAAATACTAAAATCATAAATAAAAGAAGTGACAGTACAACAGATGCCACAGAAATGAAAAAGATTACAAGACACTAATGTGAGCAACCATATGCCACAAAACTGGGCAACCTAGAATAAATTTATAAATTCCTAGAAACACAAACCACCATACTGCATCACGGAGAAATAAAAAATCCAAAGAGACCTGTAACTAGTACGAAGATTCAACCAGTAATCAAAAACCCCCCAAAAAAGAAAATTCCAGGTCCAGATAACTTCACTGGAGAATTTTACCAAACATTTCAAGAAGAATTAATGCCAATCCTCTGCAAAATATTTCAAAAATGTTTAAAAACCAGAAGGGGACATTCCAATCCATTCTATCAGGTCAACATTTATCTGGTTCCAGAGCCAGATGAACACCTTTTTTAATAAAAACACTGAAAGAATTAGTAATATATGGAAACTCCTCAGTAAATAAAGATTATACATGAAAAGCTTACAGCTAACATCATACTCAATAGTGAAAAACTAAAATCTTTTCCTCAAGGATCAGGAATAAGATAGCAACATCCCTTCCTGCCACTTCTATTCACCACAGTACTGGAATTTCTACTCAGAATAATTAGGCAAGATAAAGTAATAAAAAGCATGCAAATTGGAAAGGAAAAAGTACAAAATTTTGTTCACAGACAACAGGATGTAATGTATAAAAATCCTGAAATTCCACAAAATACTGGTAAAATAATGAAATTCAACAATGTTTCAGGATACAGTAACACACACATGTCAGTTGCATTTCTATAAACAAACAATGAACAATCTGCAAATAAAATTTTAAAAAGAGAGGCCAGGTGCAGTGGCTCACACTTATAATCCCAGCACTTTGGGAGGCCAAGGCGGGTAGACCACCTGAGGTCAGGAGTTCATGACCAACTGGGCCAACCCCATCTCTAATATAAATAGTAAAACTCTGTCTCTATTTAAAATACAAAAATTAGCTGGGCGTAGTGGCAGACACCTGTAGTCCAAGCTACTTGGGAGGCTGAGGCAGGAGAATTGCTTGAACTTGGAAGGTGGAGGTTGCTGTCAGCTGAGATTGTGCCACCGCGCTCCAGCTTAGGAAACTGAGTGAGACGCCGTCTCAAAGAAAAGAAAGAAAGGAAAGAAAGAGAGAGAAAGAAAAGAAAAGAAAGAGAAAACAAAAGAAAATAATTTTTTAGAAAGAATGACATTTGGCCGGGTGCAGTGGTTCATGCCTGCAATCCCAGCAGTTTGGGAGGCCGAGGGGGGCAGAGCCCCTGAGGTCACAAGTTCAAGACTAGCCTGGTCAACATGGAGAAACCCTGTCTCTACTAAAAATACCAAAAAATTAGCTGGGTGTGGTGGCACGCACCTGTGATCCCAGGTACTTGAGAGGCTGAAGTTGGAGAATCGCTTGAATAAAGAAGGCGCAGGTTGCAGTGAGCTGAGATAGTGCCACTGCACTCCAGCCTGGGAGACAGAGCAAGACTCCATCTCAAAAAAAAAAAAAAAAAAAGAATTACATTTACAACAGCATTATAAAAATTAGAAAATTAGAAATAAGCTTAACCAAGAGGGCAAAAGATTTGAACAGAGAAAACTACAAAACACTGTTGAAAGAAATTAAACACAAATAAATGAAAAGAAAAGCTGGGTTTGCAGATTAGATGATTTCATCTTGGAATGATGTCAACACTGCTCGAAGTGACCTAGATTCAATACAATCCTTATAAAGATTCCAATGACATTTTTGATAAACAGAAAAACCTATCCTAAGATTCATATGGAATCTCCAGGGCCCATGAATAGGCAAATCAATCTTGAAACAGAACAAAATTAAAGGTCTCAAAACAATTACAAAACTGCAATAAGCAAAAAAAACATGTGGTCATGGCATAAAGACACACTTGACACACTTATGGACCAACACAACAGAGACCTCAGAAACCAACCCTGGCATATATGGTCCGATGATCTTCCACAAGGATGCCAAGACCACTCAATGGTGAAGGACAGTTTCTTCAACAAATGTTGTTGGGAAAATTGTATATCTACATGCAAAACAATGATGTTGGACTCTTACCTTACACCATGTTAAAATTAATTCAAAGTGAATTATAAACCTAAATGTAAAACTACAACTATCAAACTCCTAGGGAAAAGAAATTTGGAAAATGCTTTAAGACGATGAATTTGTCAATAATTTTTAGGATATGACATTAAAAGCTCAGGCAGTAAAAGCAAAAATATATCAAACTTAAAAACTTCTGTACCTCAAAGGTCACAACAAACAGGGTAAAAGGCAAACTGTAGAATAAAAGAAAATACCAGTTGAGTGTCCCTTATTTGAAATGCTTGGGATGTGTTTCAGATTTTGTAATATTTGCATTATTCTTACTGGTTTAGCATATCGAATTCAAACACCTGAGTCTGAGATGCTCCAATAAGCATTTCCTTTGAGTGTCATGTTGGCACTCAAAAAGTTTCAGACTTTGGAGCATTTGGGATTTCAGATTTTTGGATCAGAGACATTCAATCTATAGTTGCACATCATGTAACTCATAAGAAGTGAACATCCAGAATACGTAAAGTACTCCTACAGAGAGACTACCAGAAGCAGAAAGGAGCAAACACATTTTCATACTAGGGCACCTCCTATCTCTCCTGGATTCCAATTAGGGCAGAGTAAGTGCTTGTTCTCTGCCAACCCAGGATTAGGCCCTGCAGCTGTAGTGAAAATAATCACAGAAGAAAACTAAGAAATAAAAAATGGAGAAAGTGAGACATCAAACTAAAATTACTAGAAACCCCCAGGAAGAAGGAAAAAGAAACCAAGAAAACAGAAAAACAATTAAACCAGTTAATTAAACCTTGGCATGGCCAGAAGATCAGAGTTTCCTAAAGGAGTGGAAATTTATTGATTTGAAGAGGTTTTATTGATTACTGATTTGAAGAGGAAGAAAAACCATGAATGGTCTAAAGCAAAAGCCTAGTGTCTGAAGAAGTCAGTAGGGTGAAAACAAGAGCTGGCCAGAATTTCCACAGATGGTGACAAGTTTGCAAAGCCTTTACTAGACTACTCATGAGGCTAACTAGAGGCCAAGGAGCCAACACTGCCCCTGTCCTTACAGACAGACCCTACACAGGATTCCCAGATATACATGGAAGGACAACATCTTATCAGATCCTCTCTGTGCAGATATGGTTATCATTCCAAATAATGAGCTCCAGCCCCAAGACTGTTCCATCCTCAATTGCTTTGAGTGGGCAATGTAGGCTCTCCACACACGAGCTACATGTAAGTTCCTTGGGTAACCAGATGGGAGCTGTGAAACAAAAACCCTCCATGGTCAGGTCCGTATCTGTTTCCTGCCTTTTTCTCAGCAATCCCCAGGCTGCAGCAGCAGTGGTCTACCTCTGCTGATTCTCATTCAGAATCTAAACTTAGAAGCAATTAGAACCTAGACCCCAATTCTACCTGAAAGTAACAGAATAACATAATCTGTACCCTGCAGCATGACTGTTTGCCCAACGTAATGAGGATGAACTGAGAGATAATGAATGATCATGTCCCTGGCCCAAGTAACGAGAATGAACTGTGAGATAAATGAATGATCATAACCAAAAAACCCCGCTACAACCCAACAACAAAATAAAGTGATTAAGAAATGGACAAAGAACATTTATCCAAAGATACAAAGATGATATACAAATAGCCAACAGATACATGAGATATATGAAAAGATGTGTAACATCACTAGTCATTAGAGAAATGCAAATAGAAACCACAAAGGGACATCACTTCAAACCCAACAGAAAGTAACAAGTGCAGGTGAAACTGAAACCCTTGAACACTGTTGGTGGAAATATGAACTGGCTTCTCAAAAAAAAATAAAATAAAATGACCGTATGATCCAGCCATCCAACTTCTACAGAGACAGAATAACTAGTAGCAGGACCTCAAACAGATATGTGCACACCTATGTTCACAGCAGCATTACACAGCCACAAGGTGGAAGAAACCAAAACGTCCCTCCGGGAATAGATGGATAAACAAAAGGATATATATATATATATATATATATATAGAAAATATATATATGGAAAAAAAATATATATATATGAAGAAATATTATTCAGCCATAGAAAGGAAGAAAATCCTGACACATCTGACACATAATATGGAACCTACTTACAAAACAACAAATATTACATAACCCTAGGTATATAAGCCGAATTTTTAGAAACACAAAGTAGAATAGTACTTGCAGGAGGTGGAAGGAGGGGAAAATTAATAGTTGTTAAATGGGTATAGAGTTTTCCAAGATAAAAATCTAGAAATCTGCTACACAACACTGTAAATATTATTAACTCTACAAAACTGTATACTTACAACTTGTTATGACGGTAAATTTTAAGGTATGTATTTGTTACCAAAATTCTAAATAATAAATTACTTATAAAAAAATGAACTTTTTTGACACAGGATCTTACTCTGTTGCCCTGGCAGGAGTGCAATGGCATGATCACAGCTCATTGCAGCCTCAACCTCTCAGGCTCAAGCAACCCTCCCACCTAAGCCTCCCAAATAATTGGGACTACAGGTGCACACCAAGATGTCAGGCTAAATTTTGGTTTGGTTTCCTTGTAGAGAGGGTTTTGCCATGTTGCCCAGGCTGGTCTCAACCTCCTGGGCTCAAGCAATCCACCTCCCTTGGCCTCCCACAGAGCTGAGATTACGAGCATAAGCCACCATGCCTAGCCTATAAAAAATTATTTCAAAAAGCCAAAAGATTAATCAAACTGGAATATTTAGAAATATTTAACCCAAAAGAAGTTAGGAAAGAACACATAGAAGATCAAAAGACAGACGAAGGCCAGGCATGGTGGCTTATGCCTGTAATCTGAACACTCTGGGAGGCCAACGTGGTTAGATTGCTTGAGCTCAGGAGTTCAAGACCAGCCCGTGCAACATGGCAAAACCCTATCTCTACAAAAAATATAAAAATTAGCCAGGTGTGGTGCCATGTACCTGTAGTCCCAGCTACTCAGGGGTCTCAAGTGAAGATTGGTTGGGCCTGGGAGGCAGAGTTTGCAGTGAGCCAAGATTGCACCATTGCACTACAGTCTGGGTGACAGAGGAAGACCCTGTCTTAAAAAAAATAAACAAATAGAAAATAAGTAGAAAAATGGCAGACCTAAAACCAACCTTAGCAATGATTAGTTACAATGTAACTGGACAAATGCTCTACTTAAGACAGAGACTGCCAGACCTGAGAGGAAAGCAAGACCCAATAATATGGCATCCACAGAGACACAATTTAAACACAAAGACACAAAGTATGAGAAAAAATATGCTATGCAGACACTAATCATAAAATTATGCTATCCAGACACTAATCATAAAAAGCTTCAATGGAGATGTTAACACTAGATGAAAGAGGCTTCAGAATAAAATATATCACCAGAAATAAACAGGCTAATTTCATAAAAATAAAAGAATCAGAGAGGATGATGTTACAATTATAAATTGTGCCTCAAAGTGCACACAAAGTACACACACTCACAGAGCCTCAAAGTATGTGAATCAAAAACAACAGAACAAAAGCAGGAAATTGACAATCCAAAATTATAGCTGGTGAATTAATACTGCTCCCTCAGTAACTGATGGAACAACCAGATAAAAATATAGGAAAAATACGGATCTAAATGACAAAATCCTGACCCAAATGGTACTTGGCAGTACCAAGTTAGACTGTATGTTGATCGATTGAGGAAAGGTTCAAGCCTGAAATAGTATACAAAGTATGTTTCTCTGAACACTTGAAATTAAATTAGAAACCAACAACAAATTGATATCCAGAAAAGCCTCAAATGTCTGAAAACCAAGTAATAAACTTTGAAATATCCTGTGAGTCAAAAAAGTATTCACAAGGGGAACTGGAATGTATTTGGAACAAAGTTTTTATAAAAATCACATTTCAGGTAGACTAAAGGTGACAACTTCTTTCCTGCTCCTCTCTCTGTGAGAACCAATTCCCCTTAAACCTTGCCCAGACTACTGACTTATTTGGCCAACAGAAGGTGACAAAGGTGGTATTTGGGGACTTCAGAAGCCAGGCTGAGAAAACAGAACACTAATCCAGGAGAAAGCCAGTCACCAGGCAGGAAATCCCACTCCCCTGAGACCCCATGATGGAAAAAACACAGCCAGTCCATGACTAGCTACACGCATTGACATCCCTCACTGAGCCTCCAGCAACACCGACTCCCAACCACTAGTGAGCCTCCAGCAACATCCACTCCCAACCACTAGTGAGACACCCTGCACACCACCCCGCTGTGCTTTCACACAATCCAGCTTGGGTGCAACTGTGTGTGAGGTGAGCTGGCCACCAAGACTCTCTAAGCCAAAAAACAAGTAATAATGAGTTGTTTTAAGCTGCCAAGTTTTGGGGATGGTTTCTTCAGAATAGATAACTGGAACAGAATATAGCAGCTGGAAATGAGCCACTGTAGTAATCAGAAGCTACAATATGTGCCACGACTGTGAGGCTGACCTGTAACTGGGCCTCAAGGAGACCATTCATGCAACCTGGAAGGGCATCAAGACTCTTGGTCAGGGCCTGAAGGACTGTGAGAAAATGTCATTGGAAACTGGAGAAAAGGCCTGAGAGTTACGTGCTGAGGGACTGTGAGAAAACTACGGCCACAACATGGAAACTGAAAGGGCACTGCACCATCTCAGGGATCTGCCTAAGGAGACATCTGGGAAGAACATGGAAAGTGCTACAAGCCTCCCTTAACTGTCACTGAATAAATATGAGAGGAGAGGGACATGATCTAAAGAAGGAGGTTCAGTTTTCAAACAGAATTTAGAGAAAATATAAAGAAATAATTTCTTGTCTCAAAAGGCCAAAGCAAAAAAAAAAAGAAAAGAAAAGGAAAAAAAAAATGAAAAAGAAGCCATTGAATACCCTATTGACCATAAGAAAGAGGCAGAGAAATTTGGTCAACGGCAACCCAGGCAATGAAGGAAATAGAACATGGAGAATGACAAAAGCCCAGAGGGAGGAGTAAAAGGATACAAACGCCGTTCTCAGGGACCAGGACTGGGCGCGGTTCTCAGGGACCAGGACTGGGCACTAATCACAGAACTGTAACAGGCGCCCCATGGGAATGACCAACTGTTAGACGGGGCCTGCAGGGCAGCACCTCCCTCCTACCTCCCACCAACAGCTTCTAAAGGGAAATGCCGACTGTTTTCACACCACTCCCCTCACTGCGGTTGAGTGTGTGGGTGCAGATGATAGGTCACAACAACCTGATTCAGTTCTCACTGCGGCTGAGTGTGTCGGGTGCAGATGACAGGCCACCACAACCTGATTCAGTCCTCACTGTGGCTGTGTGTGTGGGTGCAGATGACAGGCCACCACAAACTGATTCAGGATTCAGTTGGGCTACCAGCCAGTGCCATAAGGAAAACCATTCTGGGGCTCTTGAGAGGGGCAAAGAATAATTTGCATGTGGGAGAAGCGTTAATAGTTTGTGGCCAGAGGACAAGCTGTGGTTTATTAAAGACTGCTGCAGGTTCCTACTATGCTTCTCATCAAGAGGTGGAATCTAATCACCTATCCCCCTTGAATCATGGCTGGTCTCAGTGATGAGTACAACTGGACAGTGTGGCAGGAGGGATGCTCTGGGACTTTTGAGGGGCAATCATGAGAGGCCTTACAGCTTTTGCCTGGGCCTCTTGGACACACACCCTGGGAGAAGCCAGACAAACCTGACTACTTGATGCTGCCAGACTGGAAGGAAGTCCGTGCTGGCCACAGAGGGCTGGGTGCCTGCTCCATGTCCCCAGCCACTAGAGTCCTTCTGGGTGCCTGCTTCACGTCCCCAGCCACTAGAGTCCTTCCAGATGAGACCAGGGACATCATGAAGCAGCCAACCCACACCGCTCTCTCCAGTGTCTTGACCCAGAAAATTGTGACATGGAAAAAGAATAAATTCCTGGTTTAAGCCAGTAAGGTTACTGGTACGTAGTTACATCGCAGATAATTAAAACCTTGAAAAACTCATGAGAGATCACAAGGAGAACCTTGATCTGAAACATGGCATGTGGCGATTTATATTGAGTATTAGGTTAAAAATGCAAGAATGGAGCATAGTTAATATTTTACTTTAAAGCTAAAACTATAACTGCCTACTTAAAATTTTCAGTTAATTAGTTTGTCACTTTTTGTTCTCAACCAGGAAATCAACTAGTTTTAGTCCATAAACAGTTACAACTGATGCACACATCCGTTTTTCCTTACTCATTTTAAGCAGCTATCTGAAATAGGAAGTGTAATATAATCTTTAAAGAATCTGAAAACATGACAGAAATGTTTAAACTATAAACATATATTGTATATGTTAGCATATTGTATACATTGCATATTAACATAAGCTAGAATCATTGACATAAATTTATATAAACAAAAGGTAGAAAATATGACAATGTTCTTCTTGTTTTTTGTCTTTGCATATTTCTTTACTGGCCCTTGTCAAACGTGACCCACTAACTTTGAAATGCTTTCTCTTTCCCCATGGATTCCTAAGGATGTCACCACAGTGCTGGCCAGATGCACAGGTCACAGGGGACTGAACCTCGTCACCCTACAAACACACCCTTCAGGTTTTGCCAAGAATGACACGGTAAATGTAACAAAGCTGCCGTGCTTGTTAGTGAACACCAACTCAGCTCCTCTCCTGTATTCGGAAATCAGGATAAGATGAAAACAACAAGCAGGCCAGGCACGGTGGCTCATGCCTGTAATCCCAGCACTTTGGTAGGCCGAGGCGGGCAGATCACCTGAGGTCGGGAGTTCGAGACCACCCTGATCAAAACAGTAAATCCCATCTCTACTAAAAATACAAAATTAGCCAGGCGTGGTGGCAAATGCCTGTAATACCAGCTACTCAGGAGCTGAGGCAGGAGAATTGCTTGAATCTGGGAGATGGAGCCTGCAGTGAGCTGAGATCACACCACTGAGCTCTAGCCTGGGCAACAAGAGTGAAACTTTGTCTCAAAAGAAAAAAAATTAAAAATAAAAGAACAAAGAAACAAAAGTAACAAGGCTTGACACCAGATGAGCCTGAATCTAAGCAAGAAAAGCCCAGAAGAAATCCTATTTTGGGTCACTGGCTCATGGTAGTAATACCATACACAGAAGGGAAGAGAGAAGGATGTGGCTTTCACTTTGAATTTTTTGAGCTTAAGGTAAATTTTGGATAGCTACAAAGAAGCATTCAACAGAGTGTTAAACCTATGATGGAAAGAATAAGAGGTCCAAGCTGTAGAGAAACAGGACTGCAAACCACAAAGGGTTGAATCAGTCTAGGAGAACTGCAGGGCGGGATGAACAGCGACCAACGGAACATTTGGATAAGCTGTTGAGAAGAAAGGAGAATTCAGAGAAAAAGAACTGTCAGTGAGGTCATAATAGGAACTATTACACCGAACTAAATATGACCTGGGAAGGACTCCGTACTTCTAGATTTGAGTCCCTGTGGGCAAACTGCAACCTAACTTAATAGGTAGAAAGACTGAAAACCTAACTTAGGAGTATGCACCTGTAACTATAGCTGAGTCCTGGCCAATCCCAACAGCCAAACTTCTGCCACTCACACACGGCTGAGTGTTCAGCTGTGTTCAAATAAGGCAAATGCTGAGCACTGTAACCAGTCCAGTTGTTTCTGGACCTCACTGCTGAGAACTGTAACGGACCCAATTGCTTCTGGACCTCACTCCTCACTTCAGATTTCTGTACATCATGTTCCCTTTATTGTCTATAAATCTTCCACCATGTAGCTGTGCTGGAGTCTCACTGAATCTGCTGTGATTCTGGGGCTGCCTGATTCGTGAATCATTCATTGTTCAATTAAGTTCCTTTAAATTTAATTCAGCTGAAGATTTTCTTTTAATAGATGGTGTCAGAAGTGGGATCTGTGGGAGCAGGACTGCTAGGGCCTCCAGAGCTATAGTGTGGTGAGCAGTGTTGCTAGGGCTTCTAATGACCCCCAGGAGTGCTGAGGTACAAGAAAGGCACCTGCAAGGACCGCATTGTGATGCCAGCAGTGGCCCACGTGGAGCAGTTGCTACGGAGACACTGGCTGCAGTGGGGAGGAATGGCTGGGCCTGTGCACTCCTCGAAGCTGGTGGGAGCCAGGAACAGGTGGGAGCCCCACCCCTTCTAAATTGGCAGGCAGGAGCCCCACCCTCCCAGGCACAGCTGCAGCCATCCAGCCATGACTGCAAACCCAGGCATCTTTGCACTCTCAGAGGCCCAGCAAGCCCCCCTGCCCCCGCAGGCTCAGTTGTACCTGGTCCCACCACCTGGCGTCTCTCTGCTCCCAGAGCCCACTCCAACTTCGGATCCAAGTTAAGGCTGAACCCAGGCACAGTCACAACCCAGCCCGGTTTGTGCAAGCTCAGGGCAGTGCTGACATGCCAGCCCCCTGCCACCTCAGCCCCTTCCAGACTTTGGGCACTGACGAGCACAGGAGGGAGGTTGAGGTGAGGCTAAGAGTGGCTCAGCACTGGCCTGAAGGCACTCCTCAGCTCGAACAGCCTGGGCACTGTGGGCACAGCTACCCACTGTGTGTCTCTCTCAGCTGCTGAGAGCTGAACAGCTGAACAGACGTTGGGATGACCTGCCTGCAGAAAGGAGCTATCCACTGCAGGTCTCCTCTGAGCTGTACTGTTGCTCAATAAAGCACCTCTTCACCTTGCTCACCTTCTACTTGTCCACATACCTCATTCTTCCTGGACTCAGGACAAGAACTTGGGACCTGCCAACTAGCAGCGCTGAAAGAGATGTAACATAAACAGGGCTGAAACGCACCCCTTGCGTGCCAAATTGCAGGCAAGAAGAAGAGAAGAGAGAAGGAGAGAAGAGCTGTGGCCTTTCAGGGATCCCAGACATAGGAGCTCCCCAAGCCAGAGCTGTGACACCTTCTTTGGGACTCTGCAGTTCCTGCATCTCCAAGCTTCCGGGCGCCACTGCATTCCCTGATACCCACAGTGGAAGCTGTTTGCAGTCGGCCTGGTCCAGCTGCAGCCTCACAGGGAGCTGGCACCTGTGCCGGTGCCTGGAGCTGCCCACTCCACTGCAGCTGGCATGCTTGGCTGTGTGCAGTGGCTAGATCCCATGCTCGCTTGCTCACACACCCTTCACTGCTCTGTACCCAGTTCACCCTTGGCATGTGTGGGATCCAGACCACTAGCATGAGCCGAGTGGACAGAACGAACCCAGTGGGCCCGAGCAAAACACAGGAAAAAGCGCCACCAGCCAGAGGTTTCAGGCAGAAAAGCGATGCCTCAGGATTCTGTAACACTTGTGCCCTTTGACCTCTTGGAGCAGCTGGGGATCATGGTAAATTCTCTCTCGGATTTCAGAGCTCCATGGATTTGTGTTTTGAGCTCTGAGTTTCTTTAAGCAAATTTCTGTTCCAAACTGCTATCCAGCCATGACTGGCTGGATGTTTTAGAAGTTATAACAGAAACGGGACCGGGTCCAGGATCAGATTTCATCCAGTAGTTAACTGGCTTGAATCCAGTTCCAGTTAGAGGCCTCCTACATCTGAATGGGTCAGAAAGAAAGTGGTAATAAATGATAATATTGGAGGGTTGTAAAATTTGGCTTTTGAAAATTCACGGGGATTTTTGTGTTCTACACCTTTGTTTCATTTTCCTCGCATGCTTAGGTAGGAAAAAAAAATTGGCTAAGTCAATCAAGGGAACCTGGGAGTAAAGCCAATATATTAGGTAAAAATAGGATCCTTAATTTCTGGAAAACTAAGCTCCTTCTGGCTAATTCATTAGGCCTGGGAAGCAGCAAAGTCTTACAGAAATGGCAAAATCTTACTAAAGATAACTTACAGTGGAACATTCCAAATGAATAATGCCCTGGAATGCATTTAAAAATGAGGCCTCCCAAATTAGTCTCATCTAGGGATGCCTATTAATATGCAGAAGCTTCTAAAAAGATTTAGAGATGGCACGGCCTATCTGGGAGCAAGTTTGAGTCTTACCAGTTTGACACTGGGTGCTAAGCAAAGTGGCTCGTGTCTATGTTTTGTCACATGTATTTTGCTCTGAGCAGAATGAAAAATGTTAATTTGGTTACTCCAAGCAACCCCTTGGGCAGCATCTTGCAAAGCTGAGTGGATTCTTCCTGTATCTCCATGATTTCCACTGTGATGCAGCTTGGCCCCCATAGCTATAATGTGCTGAGGAGGGTGACAGAGCAAGACGCTATCTTTAAAAAAAAAAAAGGCCAGAGGCAGTGGCTCATGCCTGTAATCCCAACACTTGGGGAGGCCGAGGCAGGTGGATCTCCTGAGGTCAGGAATTCAGGGCCAGCCTGACCAGCAAGGAAAAACCCCGTGTCTTCTAAAAACACAAAATTATCTGGGCATGGTGGGGCATGCCTCTAATCCCAGCTACTCAGGAGGCTGGGGCAGGAGAATCACTTGAACCTGGGAGGCAGGGGGTTGCAGTGGACCGAGATCGCACCATTGCACTCCAGCCTGGGCAACAAGAGGGAAAATCCACCTCAAAAAAAAAATAATAGATTTGCCTATAAGGTTTTATGAAAAAGTGGGTGACATTTGGCTTTCTCTCTTTAAAGAAGATTTTCAGATAATATTAAAAAATAATGGTAGGAGGAGCCAAGATGGCCGAATAGGAACAGCTCCGGTCTACAGCTCCCAGCATGAGTGACGCAGAAAACGGGTGATTTCTGCATTTCCATTTGAGGTACTGGGTTCATCTCACTAGGGAGTGCCAGACCGTGGGTGCAGGAGAGTGGGTGAAGTGCACCATGCGCCAGCTGAAGCAGGGCGAGGCATTGCCTCACTCGGGAAGCACAAGGGGTCAGGGAGTTAGTTCCCATTCCTGGGCAAGGAAAGGGGTAACAGATGGCACCTGGAAAATTGGGCCACTCCCACTCTAATACTGTGCTTTTCTGATGGGCTTAGGAAACGGCTCACCAGGAGATTATATCCTGCACCTGGCTTGGAGGGTCCTACGCCCACGGAGTCTCGCTGATTGCTAACACAGCAGTCTGAGATCAAACTGCAAGGTGGCAGCCAGGCTGGGGGAGGGGCACCCGCCATTACCCATGCTCTCTTAGGTAAACAAAGCAGCCAGGAGGCTCGAACTGGGTGGAGCCCACCACAGCTCAAGGAGGCCTGCCTGCCTCTGCAGGCTCCACCTCTGGTGGCAGGGCACAGACAAACAAAAAGACAGCAGTAACCTCTGCAGACTTAAATGTCCCAGTCTGACACCTTTGAGGAGAGCAGTGGTTCTCCCAGCACACAGCTGGAGATGGGAGAATGGGCAGACTGCCTCCTCAAGTGGGTCCCTGACCCCTGAGCCCTGAACAGCCTAACTGGGAGGCACCAACCAGTAGGGGAAGACTGACACCTCACATGGCCGGGTACTCCTCTGAGACAAAACTTCCAGAGGAATGATCAGTCAGCAGCATTTGCGGATAACGAAATCCACGGTTTTGCAGACACCACTGCTGATATCCAGGCAAACAGGGTCTGGAATGGGCCTCTAGCAAACTCCAACAGACATGCAGTAGAGGGTACTGTCTGTTAGAAGGAAAACTAACAAACAGAAAGGATATCCACACCAAAAACCCATCTGTACATCACCATAATCAAAGACCAAAAGTAGATAAAACCACAAAGATGGGGAAAAAACAGAGCGGAAAAACTGGAAACTCTAAAAAGCAGAGTGTTTCTCCTCCTCCAAAGGAACGCAGTTCCTCACTAGCAATGGAACAAAGCTGGATAGAGAATGACTTTGACAAGTTGAGAGAAGAAGGCTTCAGACGATCAAACTTGTCCGAGCTACAGGAGGAAATTCAAACCAAAGGGAAAGAAGTTGAAAATTTTGAAAAAACTTTAGACGAATGTATAACTAGAATAACCAATACAGAGAAGTGCTTAAAGGAGCTGATGGAGCTGAAAGACAAGGCTTGAGAACTAAGTGAAGAATGCAGAAAACTCAGGAGCTGATACAGTCAACTGGAAGAAAGGGTATCAGTGATGGAAGATGAAATGAATGAAATGAAGCGAGAAGGGAAGTTTAGAGAAAAAAGAATAAAAAGAAATGAAAAAAGTCTCCAAGAAATATGGGACTATCTGAAAAGACCAAATCTGCGTCCGATTGGTGTACCTGAAAGTGACGGGGAGAATGGAACTAAGTTGGAAAACACTCTGCAGGATATTAACCAGGAGAACTTCCCCAATCTAGCAAGGCAGGCCAACATTTAGATTCAGGAAATACAGAGAACCACACAAAGATACTCCTCGAGAACAGCAATTCAAAGACACATAATTGTCAGATTCACCAAAGTTGAAATGAAGGAAAAAATGTTAAGGGCAGCCAGAGAGAAAGGTCGGGTTAACCCACAAAGGGAAGCCCATCAGACTAACAACTGATCTCTCGGCAGAAACTCTACAAGCCAGAAGAGAGTGGGGGCTAATATTCAACATTCTTAAAGAAAAGAATTTTCAACCCGGAATTTCATATCCAGCCAAACTAAGCTTCATAAGTGAAGGAGAAATAAAATACTTTACAGACAACAAATGCTGAGAGATTTTGTCACCACCAGGCCTGCTCTAAAAGAGCTCCTGAAGGAAGCACTAAACATGGAAAGGCACAATCAGTACCAGCCACTGCAAAAACATTCCAAATTGTAAAGACCATCGAGACTAGGAAGAAACTGCTTCAACTAATGAACAAAATCACCAGCTAACATCATAATGACAGGAACATATTCACACATAACAATATTAACTTTAAATGTAAATGGACTAAATGCTCCAATTAAAAGGCACAGACTGGCAAATTGGATAAAGAGTCAAGACCCATCAGTGTGCTGTATTCAGGAAACCCATCACACGTGCAGAGACATGCACAGGCTCAACATAAAAAGATGGAGGAAGATCTACCAAGCAAATGGAAAACAAAAAAAGGCAGGGGTTGCAATCCTAGTCTCTGATAAAACAGACTTTAAACCAACAAAGATCAAAAGAGACAAAGAAGGCCATTACATAATGGTAAAGGGATCAATTCAACAAGAAGAGCTAACTATCCTAAATATATATGCACCCAATACAGGAGCACCCAGATTCATAAAGCAAGTCCTGAGAGACCTACAAAGAGACTTAGACTCCCACACAATAATAATGGGAGACTTTAACACCCCACTGTCAATATTAGAGAGATCAACGAGACAGAAAGTTCACAAGGATACCCAGGAATTGAACTCAGCTCTGCACCAAGCGGACCTAATAGACATCTACAGAACTCTCCACCCCAAATCAACAGAATATACATTTTTTCAGCACCACACCATACCTATTCCAAAATTGACCACATACTTGGATGTAAAGCCCTCCTCTGCTAAGGTAAAAGAACATAAATTATAACAAACTGTCTCTCAGACCACAGTGCAATCAAACTAGAACTCGGGATTAAGAAACTCACTTAAAACTGCTCAACTACATGGAAACTGAACAACCTGCTCCTGAATGACTACTGGGTACATAACGAAATGACAGCAGAAATAAAGATGTTCTTTGAAACCAACGAGAACAAAGACACAACATACCCGAATCTCTGGGACACATTCAAAGCAGTGTGTAGAGGGAAATTTATAGCACTAAATGCCCACAAGAGAAAGCAGGAAAGATCCAAAATTGACACCCTAACATCACAATTAAAAGAACTAGAAAAGCAAGAGCAAACACATTCAAAAGCTAGCAGAAGGCAAGAAATAACTAAAATCAGAGCAGAACTGAAGGAAATAGACACACAAAAAACCCTTCAAAAATTAATGAATCCAGGAGCTGGTTTTTTGAAAAGATCAACAAAATTGATAGACCGCTAGAAGGACTAATAAAGAAAAACAGAGAAGAATCAAATAGACACAATAAAAAATGACAAAGGGGATATCACCACTGATCCCTCAGAAATACAAACTACCATCAGAGAATACTACAAACACCTCTACGCAAATAAACTAGAAAATCTAGAAGAAATGGATAAATTCCTCCACACATACACTCTCCCAAGACTGAACCAGGAAGAAGTTGAATCTCTGAATAGACCAATAACAGGATCTGAAATTATGGCAATAATCAATAGCTTACCAACCAAAAAGAGTCCAGGACCAGATGGATTCACAGCCGAATTCTACCAGAGGTACAAGGAGGAACTGGTACCATTCCTTCTGAAACTATTCCAATCAACAGAAAAAGAGAGAATCCTCCCTAACTCATTTTATGAGGCCAGCATCATTCTGATACCAAAGCCGGGCAGAGACACAACCAAAAAAGAGAATTTAAGACCAATATCCTTGATGAACATCGATGCAAAAATCCTCAATAAAATACTGGCAAACCAAATACAACAGCACATAAAAAAGCTTATCCACCATGATCAAGTGGGTTTCATCCCTGGGATGCGAGGCTGGGTTAATATATGCAAATCAATAAATGTAATCCAGCATATAAACAGAGCCAAAGACAAAAACTACGTGATTATCTCAATAGATGCAGAAAAGGCCTTTGATAAAATTCAACAACATTTCATGCTAAAAACTCTCAATAAATTAGGTATTGATGGGACATATCTCAAAATAATAAGAACTATCTATGACAAAGCCACAGCCAATATCATAGTGAATGGGCAAAAACTGGAAGCATTCCCTTTGAAAACTGGCACAAGACAGGGATGCCCTCTCTCACCAATCCTATTCAACATAGTGTTGGAAGTTCTGGCCAGGGCAATTAGGCAGGAGAAGGAAATAAAGGGTATTCAATTAGGAAAAGAGGAAGTCAAATTCTTCCTGTTTGCAGACGACATGATTGTATATCTAGAAAACCTCATTGTCTCAGCCCAAAATCTCCTTAAGCTGATAAGCAACTTCAGCAAAGTCTCAGGATACAAAATCAATGTACAAAAATCACAAGCATTCTTATACACCAATAACGGACAAACAGAGAGCCAAATCATGAGTGAACTCCCATTCACAATTGCTTCAAAGAGAATAAAATACTTAGGAATCTAATTTATGAGGGACGTGAAGGATCTCTTCAAGGAGAACTACAAACCACTGCTCAATGAAATAAAAGAGGATACAAACAAATGGAAGAACATTCCATGCTCACGGATAGGAAGAATCAATATCGTGAAAATGGCTATACTGCCCAAGGTAATTTATAGATTCAATGCCATCCCCATCAAGCTACCAATGACTTTCTTCACACAATTGGAAAAAACTACTTTAAAGTTCATATGGAACCAAAAAAGAGCCCGCATCACCAAGTCAATCCTAAGCCAAAAGAACAAAGCTGGAGGCATCACGCTACCTGACTTCAAACTATACTACAAGGCTACAGTAATAAAAACAGCATGGTACTGGTACAAAAACAGAGATATAGATCAATGGAATAGAACAGAGCCCTCAGAAATAACGCCGCTTATCTACAACTATCTGATCTTTGACAAACCTGAGAAAAACAAGCAATGGGGAAAGGATTCCCTATTTAATAAATGGTGTTGGGAAAACTGGCTAACCATATGTAGAAAGATGAAACTGGATCCCTTCCTTACACCTTATACAAAAATTAATTCAAGATGCATTAACGGCTTAAATGTTAGACCTAAAACCATAAAAACCCTAGAAGAAAAACTAGGCATTACCATTCAGGAAATAGGCATGGGAAGGACTTCATGTCTAAAACAACAGAAGCAATGGCCACAAAATCCAAAATTGACAAATGGGATC